>NW_025791797.1:300000-600000 GCF_000001405.40 Homo sapiens | reverse complement strand
CAGTTTGAGTTTGCTCTAAGAAGCAGTTGTCCAGTGCACCTTGTGTTTAAGAAATTTTCTAAGCTTAGGGCTGGGCCATTGATGGCTTTGCCAGTGCCCTTCATTTGGGAATCACCATCTAGCTCAAACTCATTACCATCTGTGGGCCAAGAGAGTTCCTTACAGACTAAAGAGGAGCGTGACACACAACAAAACACTTTAGAGAAGGGACTCACGTCAGCTGCATCTCTGATGAGCTTAAGGAATAACATAAACAACATGTAATACACAACAGAAAATTACAGGATAAGTAATGTTCTTACTATGCATTAACCTGAAAGAAAATAAAACATGCAGCAACTGATATTTTCTGGTGATTTTCCCCAGATGAGCTTTTCTTTCTTACCAGAAGGTGGCAAAAAAGGTGCGCTTTAAATTACCCCCACCCAAATGGACAGAAAAAAACTTTTTTTTAAAGAGCAAGGCAAATAACTCTCGCAAGTTAGAAGTTTTAACCTTTAGAAATAGGCAAATATGTGGACTTTTAGGTTCTGTTATTCAATATAGTTAAAAGAAATATCTCTAAGAATGACTAGGGATAATCCCTATTGATATCCATACCACATGGGTTGACAAAACATGTTTGGCTATAAAAAAAGATGAACTTCTCTAGAAGCTATGAATATGTGTTATGGGGTCTATAAAAATAAGTTCATTACAATTAGTGGGAAATAGTCTAAGGCAACTAAACAAATAAAAAAATTATATATGCCACTGATTTACAGAAATCCCAATTTGCAATATAAAAATGTAATTTGTAAAGCAGAGTTCAATTTTGTAAATTATGTTTTAATGTACTCATCTATAAGATGAAAAACTGAATTGGATGATAACCACAGTCTCTTCTTCTATTAATATAATATATTCCCTGCTTTAGAGATGAGGGAAGAAAGATATATGACTCACCTATGGTTACATACTAGCTAGTGACAAGACTGTCTGTAAAACTCAAGTTTTCTGACCCTTCATCAACTTCACCATCTGTCTTAAAAAAGATGAATTTCCCTAGAAAACTCCATTAGGTATGGCTTCTGCCCATAAGAAAACACTGTAAGTTCACTACAGGTTTGTTTAAAATGGCAAATAACTCAAAATGATTGTGGTGCATTTGGAGGCAGGTTTATTTTTAAAAGGAAAGAACTCATCAGGAGTTCTGGGGTCTGAGTCCATGGGGGAAGACTGCCAGATAAAGAAAGGCCAAATGGGACAATTCCTAGTAAGAGCTGAAAGGTGAGGGAGGAAGGGGAGAGATGAGTACTCCCAGTGCTGAGCTCCATCTAGGCAGCAGTGCTGCAGACCCATGGCCCCACAGCACAGGGCAGGAGGGCTGTGGGGCTGGGGAGGGTCAGAGATAGCCCATGTCTGACTGGGCCTGGATGAGAATAAAACTAGATGAGTTTAATGGTCTTTGCTGGAGGCTTTACTTGCAGTTTCCACCCAATCCAGTCTTTGACTTCCGATAGCAAATAATGCACTCCAATCCTTTTAATGGCTCATCTCCCTGAAAGCCTGATTTTCAAGTATTGTGGAAGTGAAAAATTTAGAAGTCATGTTGAAAGCTGAGGTTTCTCTTAATAGAAGTCAGATCTATTTTTCAGAATCCTCTGCAGGTATAGGGCTGTAGAAACTTTAGACATCTGTGGCTTGGCATCTGCAGAGTTCCGTTCTGCTTTTCTCCTTGCTATGGCCAGAGAATGCCGGCCCTTTCTGTAATGGTGGGTGTATTTTGCCAGAAAACTCACATATTTGTGGGTGGAGTCAGTTGGGAGCCTGGAGCAATTTTTCAAAAGTCTGCATAGGCCAAACACTGCAGGGATTTCCAAGGGGTGAAAAACAATATCTTGGGGGTTAGCAAATTTCCACTGTTTGTAGAGCCAAAGGTGCAGCTTTGGAAACATGGCAAGTAACTGATCATGACAGTGGAGGGAGAGCCTGAAAGCTGGATAAGTGTGTCCTGGGATCCCTCATTACATGCACCCTCACTGCATTTCTAAGAGCAGCAGCAAAAGCTCCTCTGTCACCCTAGGCAATCAGGGTCACAGCCTAGGCAAGACTCATCTTAGGTGGCTGCAACTACAGGTATCTAATTAGAACTTGGAAGCTAGGGAAATCAAAGGCATACGCAAAGTCATCTTAAAAGAGTATATCTCAATTTGGAGGAGTTCATAAGTTTCTCTAAGGAAGCAATAAAACGCTATTCACAAAACCCCCTCACTCCCACCTCTCCTGGCCCCTGTAAAATGTACATGTATATGCAGCATATAATATTTATCTACAGTTCAGAGATGCATGGGCCCAGATGAAGACTTAAGAATCCATGGCTTAATGAGACAGGATGGCCCTAGATTAAGGCAAAGTCAGACTGAAAGTGTCAATTCTGTTAAAGAAAGAGTGTGAACATTAGAAAGGAGGTTTGTCTGCAGTTGTAAACACGGGAGAAAGAGCCACTGAGGAACAGGCTGCTGACACTTACCCAGGGACAATCCAGAAGAGAGCCTAGGCCAGGGGACATTCTAGCTCCCCGATCTGGCTTTGCCAAGTGTAGCTTTTGTCTATCTAGAGGACATGTCTTACAATTTCCCACAAATCCCCTCCTCTGACTTTGTATTCACCAAGTAACCCTCTGACTAAAAGTTGGCCTCTTTTGTAGATCTACCCATAGGGACAGAGTGTTCTGGTCTTGCCAATATGAACATTCCAGTGTGCATGGCAGTCACAGTCCACACTGGAAACAAGTAACTTGGCATTCTGTTTTATACATCGGTCTCATGAGCCAGTATGACCTCACCCTTGAGAGTTAGATCCACTGTCAGTGTGCTGGAAAATCTTTTTTTTAAGCCTATCAGGCTGAGGTCTCGAATACCAAAATGCCAGCTGGTGTTTCCTGGCAACACTGGGATGGCCACACTTACCTCCCACTGAAATGGCCTCCCACTGAAATGACCACACTTACCTTTTACAGGACATCGGATTGTCACGTTTGCTCCAAGGGCTGCCTCCACGATGCCTCCAACCACAACAGACAGATGGTTGTGCTCTGGTTTGGTGATATTTCTTTCAACAGACAAGATGACAGGTGCCTCTTAATTCAAAGGGAGCAGGAAACTATGTTAGGTTCAGGCTTTTGCTCTTTGGTAAAACATATTGCATTTGGTAAGCTTTGTTGAGCCCTTTGAGGGCAGGAGTGGAGTCCTGGTTCTCTCTGTATCCCTCAAGGTGCACCGTGGGGATGTGCACATACATACCTGGAGGTGCTCAGTGGACATACGGACAGATGGATGAATGGATAGATGGTTCGATGAATTCAAAGGTACATTGCAACAACAGTATGTATAGACTATGAGGATATTTTGGTTTTATAACTAAAATTGAGGATAAATTCCTCTTTGATAATTTGAAAAAAAAAGGAATTCAGAAGCTCATAAGAAGCAAAGAAGACAGGCAGAGCAGGAATGATGTCTCTGCAGTGCAGCCATGAATGAATTAATGTAGGGCCAAAACACACTGGGGCTTGGGACTACCTGACTCTTTTTCTGGAAGGAGGGATGTGAGATACTGGGGGAGGGGGTTGATGAAGACAGGACAGAAGGTCCTGATCCATTCTGTTGTCCCTCATTGGGCCCAGCGTAATAAGAGGTTTTTTCCAATGTAAACATTTACCAAGTGTCCACTCTGTGGTCTGCACCTGGGTACAAGATGAGAAATACCTGGGTACAAGATGAGAAGTATCTCCTCTTTCGATAAGCACAAGGTGTAGGGGTGCAGAAGGAGATGTACACAGGCATTTTCAATATAAATGTGGTACCTAATCCTTATAAAGTTTTTCTGAATATGGTGCCACAGCCAGGCTGACATGTGGATGCCAGGATGTAACCACGGTTCAGAGCTCATTCAAAGCTGTACTGGAGAAAGATGAGACAGGTAGGAGGCCACGATTCTTGTTGAGCCTCTTCTAATAAGCTATATGTGTGCTTGGGCAAAATCTTCCCTCTCTGGACTTCAGTTTGAATCCCATTAAAAAAATGATTGGGTTAGAAGATCTCTTCCAACTGCAGTTCCCTCACCCAATGTGTGGTTCAGAGAGGCCCTGTCTGACCCTACTTAAATAAACTCATTTCAATCTAAAATAGAAAAGACTATTTAAAGACCATCAATTGCAAGGAGACCTATTTAAAACATTATTTACATCTCTACACTGCAGAAAGTCTCAAGAGAGAAAATGTCTGACTTCCCACTTTATGAGACCATATGAGGTTATTACAAGTGGAGCAGAACTGTCTGCAAGAAAAATGCAAAGTTAACGTTTAATTAATACGAAGCAAATACATGTATAAAATTTGCATGCAAAAATAATACAAACAAGGTCATAAAGAATCAAACGTCCATTTTAAAATGTTTATTTTCTTTGGATTTTGATATTTAGTTGCCAGATTAATTTATTCACTCACTCAGGAAGCATACTTTGTGCCTGAGCTGGACAATGGCAGTACTAAGTATTAAAAATGTTTCTTTATAATAAAAGCATATTTTAATATCCAAATGACATTGTCCACCTCCCAAGAAGACTCACACTACTTTATAGTTACAACTTCCTGGAGGTGTTTCTCAGGATTGGCAGGTATGCCACTGGGAGGTAATTGCAATCTATAAAAGATAATTATTCTTTTTTGTTGACTGATGGAACTTTAAAAAATGCAAAGTTCATTAATATCAACACTGCCAGTTAAACTCCATCTCATTATTTCCTGATTCTTAGAAAGTGAGTTCCTGAGCAGCTGTTTTCAGTGTGGTCCTCAGACCGGCAGCATTGGCATAACCTGGGCACATGTTGAAAATGCTGATTCTCAGACTCCAACCCAAACCTACTAAGCCAGAACTTCTAGGGGTGGAGTCCAGCAATCTGTATTTTAACAAGCACTCCAGATGATTCTGACAGCTGCTAATGAGAACTGCTGCTCTAGAATTTAATGTTAAAAACAAATAAACAGCCAGGCGCGGTGGCTCACGCCTGTAATCCCAGCACTCTGGGAGGCCAAGGCGGGTGGATCACGAGGTCAGGAGATCGAGACCATCCTGGCTAACATGGTGAAACCCCGTCTCTACTAAAAATACAAAAAATTAGCCGGGCGTGGTGGCGGGCGCCTGTAGTCCCCAGCTACTCGGGAGGCTGAGGCTGGAGAATGGCGTGAACCCGGGAGGCGGAGCTTACAGTGAGCCGAGATCACGCCACTGCACTCCAGCCTGGGCGACAGAGCGAGACTCTGTCTCAAAAAAAAAAAATAAATAAATAAATAAATAAAAATAAAAAATAAAGAACCAGGCATTCTAGATTTCAACAGTGGGCATTACCTGCATACAGCACAGAAGAACTTTCCACATCTGAACCAAGATGATTAGCTACAGAACATTCATATATGCCTTGTTCTTTCCTTGTAGGATTCTGTATCTGTATCTTCCCAGTTCCATCCAAAATTATTCTGTAGAACAGTTAGAAAGACGACACATTCATATAACAATTTAACTGACCTAGGGCTACAGTGAGTTGCAGAGAAAGAAGACTGCACCATTACAGGCTTTGGGCTGGCAAAGCTCACAAAGGATAATTTTGTCCAGCATCCTGCCTATAAGCAGAGAACTATATAGACCAGGAGGGTGGAGTGTTTCCTCTTGCTATAGGTTAACAGCAACGTTAGAGCTCAACAGTGCTTAGAGATCCAGTCTTCCCATCCCACTTTACATGAGAAAAGACTTTTCTGGTGAACTCAATGCTTAATCTGCCACATTTTAAAAAAAGACAACCTAGCAAACCTATTCATTTGCTGGATGTTAAACACTCCTTTTCTGCCCGAATCCTTCCTAACAAACTGCAGGTGTGGATTTTCTGTTTGGATTTTCATGCTGGAGGTGATTGGGCTTTGGCTAAGGCTGCTTTGCAATGGATTATGGTCTCATTATTCCTGTATGAAGAAGTCGATTGAGGTCATCATGCTAAGTCTGTGGCATACACTGGATTTGGACCATGCTGTTAAGAATTAGGGCTAACCTGCATGAGTTCATTATGGTTTCCCAATTACTGATATTCCTAAAATCCTGTGTGTAAATACCGCTTTGAGAATCAGAGTTGGTCAGGTGTAGCCTAACCAATTAGATAATAATTCAGAGATTCAGAAAATATATCTAAAGGTGAGAAGAACCTTTGTTAGGAAGGGAAGAGTGCTTGTTCTTTTATTTTATTTTATTCTTAATAATTTGAATCTGCTTCTAAATCACCCGGATCAGTGGTTTATATACTATTTTTCCCCTGCCCCATCTCACTTCATAGATCTTAGCAATATGGACTATTCTGCCCTCTAAATACTGTATGTTTCATCATGAAATGAACTGTGCCACTTCTTTATTTCCTGTCACTTCATGTCGTTCGCTCTATGCTTCAGTCATAATGAACCTTAACTGTTTCCAGAACATTCCATGATCTTTCATTACTGTGAGCTTTTGCATATGTTGTTCACTTCATTTGAAATGCCCTTCCTCCTTTCTGGCAAACTCAGACCCGCCCACTGAGTCCTGGATCAAATGTAATTTCCCCTGTAAAGTTTTCCCCAATACTCCTAGAGTTATCTTCTGTCTCCTCTGGGCTCCTTCTTCTCTGGTTCATATATTTATTTGATGAAATATCTATTTCTTCCCACTAGACTGTGATCTTTTCAAGGGCAGGAACCAAATCTTATTCACAGCTGTGCATACTCACTGCTTAGACTTTTATATAGCAAGTTCTCAAAAATCTTTGATGACTAAATGTATGAATGATTAGAATAGTATGAAATAATGGCACAGAGCAATAGTACCAAGAGCATACAAGCCCTGCTGCAGCACACATAAGAAATATACAAAAGCTGGCAGAAGTCAAAACAGCGAAAGTGTCTCAGAGCAACAAGAGTATGGCAGACCTCGCTGTTAGTAAGGCAAGATTTTCAGTGTCAAATCCTGATGGAGGAGAAATAGTTGGTTAAAAGCAAAAGTCTAACCAGTGACTACACATGAAAAATAAACATATTAAATCATTTTCTTAAATTATTTCATATATATGTTTGCATGATTTAGGAATTCTCAAATAATGCCTTTGTTTTGTAGGTTTCAGGTAACAGTCCAGTGAGAAATCATTGAGATCAGAAATAGCTGAGCATGCGTGAACCTTACATGACAGGTGGGGCCACTGGGTACCTAGCCTGGATCTGTCCTTGGGCTGGAGAACCACCAGGTTGAATTCTGTAACACATATGACCTTGGCCTCTGCTGCGTAATCTTACTCTTAACTTGAAGTAATAACAAAGTTGATCTTTCTATAGGCACCATCTCTAATTGATACACCCACAAACTTCTCTTCCTAGTTGAGATTTCTTACTCAATTGTCATCCGAACAGTACTCCATGCCTACACAGTTTCTCTCATTGAATGAGGCTTTCAGGAACATAATTCCATTTCTCAATTACTTCAACTGAAAAGATTTGTAAGATTCAGAAAGTATATTTAAAGATGAGAACATTTGTTATGTAAAGGGAATTAAACATAAATTGAACAAATTAATTGGGTAGGTTTTGGAGGAAAAATAGAAATGAAAATGGATCTTATTATCTTAAAAATTAAAAACAAAACCTTTTATTAGACATATGAAATTGCTTCTGTTTTGAATGGCTGATCTTTAAAGGATGCAGAAACACATCTAAGGAGGATGTACCATGTCAAAACTTCTTTATACAAGCTCCAGGGGTCTCAGCCTGATAAACTTATGTTAACGCCATTCCATCAAGTCAATCTATTTAAAATGAACTCAAATAAATATTTATTTAAACTGACCAGGCTCCTCTATATCATTGTAGTACTTATATGGCCATAGGTCAACAGATCACTTCAACCTTGTCAGCCTCTCTTTCCTTACAATTTATAAAATGGATTATTGAACCAAGTTAGCAGTCTTCAAAGCATAGTCCATGAACCCCCCAGAAGTCTATGAAGTCAAAGCTAGTTTTATAATAATACGAAGCCATTAATTAGCCTTTTTAAAAACGGTATTGACCTTTGCACTGAGAGTGCAAAGGCAGTGTTGGTAAGACTGCTGGCACCTTAGCATGAACCAAGACAGTGATATTGAAGTGTACCAGTAATTACTGTATTCTTGACTACTATGTTTTACTTGCAGAAAAAAAAAAAATGCCAGTTTCCCTTAAGAATGTCCTTAACGGCCAGGCGTGGCGACTCATGCCTGTAATCCCAGCACTTTGGGAGGCCGAGGTGGGTGGATCACTTGAGGTCAGGAGTTCAAGACCAACCTGGCCAACATGGTGAAACCCTATCTCTACTAAAAATACAATTAGCTGGGGGTGGTGGTGTTCACCTGTAATCCCAGTTACTTGGGAGGCTGAAGCAGGAGAATCACTTGAAACGAGGAGGCAGAGGTTGCAGTAAGCTGAGATGCCACCACTGCACTCCAGCCTGGGTGACAAAGCGAGACTGTCTCAATAAAGAAAAGAAAAAAAAAGAAATGTCTTTAATGAAGTAGTAAAAGGTATTAATCTTACTAAATCTTGACCCTTGGGTCCATACGTTTTTCATATCCCATACGACACAATGGGAAGTACACACAAAGCACTTCCACTGCATGCTGAAGAACTGGTGGCTTCTTTCATGGAATATGATTTTTACTTGAAAGAATGACCAATAAACTATGACAAAAAAGTCCACACTATGATTTAAAGTTGGGTATTTGGTAGATATATATATATATATTTTTTAAATGAGCTGGCCAATTCAATGACACAACTGACAGTATTTGTTGCCAATGATGAAAAAGGTTTGATGTGAAAATTAGAATTTTGGAAAACTGGTATCCACCACTGTAAGTCTGACAGCTTCCCAAAACTTAAAGACTTTTTTTTTTATGAGATACACGGTGATTTTTTTAAATGTGTATTTTTTTTACATTGCATAATGAAATGCACCAACATTTGGAAGGCCTGTATCACTCAGTGAGCCAATATTTTCCAAATGACCAATGTATGGTGTTAAAAAATCTTGTATGGGTAAAAAGTCTATTCAAAATGCAAGAAAAAAACAGCAGATTTCATTAAACAGAGTACCAACATTTCATTAATATAGTTTCAGATTGCACATTTCAACTAACCTTTGAGAAATGACCCTTTGTCTAGTTTTAGTGTAGAATTAAAGAGTATCCACAATTATCTGAAAAGATATTAAAATATTCTTTCTCTTCCAGCTAACACATTTGTATAGCACACATTTATTTTCTCCATATACTTTAACTAAAACAACATTTCACAACAGATGTGGAAAAAGAATCCAGCTGTCTTCTTTTATTATACCAGACATTAAAGAGATCTGCAAAGATGGAAAGCAATTCCACTGTTATCAGTAATTTTGGTGGCAGGGGGAGGGTTTTCAAAAAATATGTTATTTGTATGAACATGTTATAGGCCCATTATTTTTTCTAAATAGATTAATGGAGATATTTTCAATGTTTCTTGGTTTTAATTTCTAGTGAGGTAAACAGCAATAGATACAACTCACATTTACAAAAGCTCTTTAGGCTCCTCAATCATTTTTAAATTTTAAAGAGTCTAAAACCAAAAGCTCTGAGAACTGCTATGTTTTAAGGTTTATTCTACTTCTAAAATTTCATTGTACTCTTGTGTTCATAGTTCTAGCATTAAAAATTCAAAAATTAGATTTTTTCTACCTTTTTAAGATATAGCCTAATAGTTTATTATTTTAAAAAACTGAATTTTACCTAAGTTTTTTCTGATGTTTCACATACGAGGCTCAATGCACAAAGGACATGATAAAAGTAAAACTTGCATTTTGAAAGTACCTTGTGATATGCAAAACAGTTTCACATCTGCTGTGTTATTTGTGTCTCTTAACGATCTCTAAAGGCAGATAAGGTAGAGCTGGAGCTCTTACATGTGAATCAAAAGAAGGCACAATGTCTATA
The DNA here is from genome assembly GCF_000001405.40 of Homo sapiens. Taxonomy (NCBI): domain Eukaryota; kingdom Metazoa; phylum Chordata; class Mammalia; order Primates; family Hominidae; genus Homo; species Homo sapiens. Next base: position 589,955 of record NW_025791797.1, on the reverse strand, counting down.
GTACTTTGTATACAAACAGCAAGATTTGAAGGCAATAAAGAATGCAAAAGTAAATTAGTATCTGTTATGTAAAATAAAGGAAATGTGACATTTTTACACTGGCATAGAGATCAGAATAATATGTGACTTAATACTGTGTTTTGAACATCTCAAAACACTATGATTCTTATTTTTGGATTGTATGACATTTAAAAATTGCATGATAATAGAAAACTACTTCAGATACCCAAGCTTTTGACAAGGCTACGTATTTGTGTGATACTCAAATACCACTGGTGGGTATTCAAGAGATACGGCCCTTGGTTCTGATTGGCCATGAAGTAGTCATGGGATTCTGCTTCTCAATTACCTCATCAGAAAGGTTAACCCCTGCCCTGCCAATCTCATGGGGCTGATGTGAGCTCAAATAAGATACCACATCTCCTAGACATGGAAGAGCTCTGTAAATTCTGATTTGCAGTTCCAACATAATGTAGGATTACTATTAATAAGCTTACTTTTAAAATGGCCTTATATTGATTTTATTTTTAAATGCCAAGTGCTGAGTAAAGGGGGAGTGTATATATGCTTAAACTTATTCTTGCTGGATCCAGTCATATCACACCTCTACGACAGTGATTGGGATGATATGGCGGTTGAATTTAAAAATTCCAACGTATATGTGAAAAACACATCTTAACATTTTTTAGTTTCTTTCCTAAAGAATCCTGTTGGAAACACATGCTTAGGAGAGGAATTTGAAAATATTTTCAAGAAAACTGGAATAGCCATTAAGAAGGTAGTGCAAAAATGAATACTGCATTTTTATTTTACTTACTTTACTGAGGGCTGTAACAAGGTTCCATCCTTGGTCCATGTATATGTGGCCTCACTGGGGGTAATAAGGTCACACAGTATATTGATGACCTCTGTCCTTTTTGTAATGTATACTGTATTTCCAATCCTGGAATTTATTGTTTTATTAAATGAAATTGAGGGAGGTTGGCTTTGCCTCATGAGAACAGGTCCTTTCGGCTTGAATGTCAGCTTGCCTGAGTTTTTTGCATGCGAGCTTTGGGACACACTCCCTGTTTCCCCTCTGAGCTGAGCAGCAGGAGGTGTCTCTTCCTGGATGCCCCGCCACTGCATGTGTGTTGGCTGTGCCTTGGCTAATTCGGCCACCAGCTGATATATCAGCTGGGACGCAAGATCATCGCTGACCTCTCCGGTTTCCATGAGCTGACTCATGTTTCTTATCAGCTCATCAAACTGGGCTGTATCCATGCTATATGCTCCTTGTTTAACTGCTGCTTCAAACTGCTTATTCTTCAACTCCCAGGAGTTGGTGCTTCCTGCAGAATTGCTGCAGTGGCCTAACAGAGCTCTCAAGAAAGGCTGGTTACTAATGTGGTCATCATCCAGATAAAGGTCATTTTTGTTATTCCACATTTGCCTCATTTTGTGCCATGTGACTCCCAAACTATTGGCTTCGCTGTGGTCCATCCCAGGATATTCCCTCATAGGCTCCCTGAGGGCTGGGCGTGCGATGAGCCGGTTGTCAGTACCAATGAGCTTGAGCACAACTGTTTCCTGTGCAGAGCCTGCAATGCACCGGTACACGCCGATGTCGGGGGCAGCAAGACCATGGATTTTTAGTGAGCCTGACTTGGTGATGCCAAGCCGTTTGGAGTTCTGCAGGCAACGGCCATCCTTCTCCCACTGGATCAGAGATTTCTGGAATCGTCGCACGGGGCACTTAATAATCACGGATGTGTTGGGCAGCAAATAGGCTCTGCTACCAATGGTCAGGTTAATACGCTTCTCTTCCCTTGTCTGAATGTAGACTCTCTGGACACTGAGGATCTGCGGACCCTGCTCACCAAGTTTTGTCTTCATCTCTGATTTGATTTCTCCAAGAAAAAAAAAAAGAAAGAAAAGAAAATACGAATAAACATCTCAAAAATACAGACTTTTTGACAGTAATCTTTCAAGGCTGATACAGGCTAACAAACGTATCTTTTTTACTATTTTAAAACATTCAAGAATAAAACCATGAATAACATTATACATCCACAGATTGGGGTAAATTTCACAACTATCTAGTACTTTAGTGGCAAAGAATGCAAGTGTGAATGAGGTGCATGAAAATGTGTAAGTGATTTGATAAAACCCTGGTTTGGGGAGGCATGAGGTTAAATGATTTGGTGAAATGTAGGGAATAGTTATTTCTAGATTTGAGGAATATTTGTTCTAGGCCATGCTCATATAATGGCTCCATAAATACCCAGCCTCTGGGTACATGTTTCCATCAATAAGGGTCTGATATGTCAGGTCTCTACTATCTGGCAGAGAGGCCCTCTGGCTTAGAGCCATGGGTACCCCAAATCTGAGGGAGGAAGTGAGAGTGGGAATGTGAGCAAATGTATTTGAAGGGTCTGAAAGGAGGCTGAGGTTGGCCAGCTGCAGAATATAACCCAAATATGTCGATTAAATTGGCATGGGGGTCTGAAGAAGCAATGGGTAGCCGTGATCAAAAAAGAACAGGTGGCATAGGCAGTTTGAAGTCAGATAAACCTGAGTTTGAATCTTAGCTCTGCCACTTGGACAAATTCTTTCATCTCTCTGAGCCTCAGTTTCCTCACCTGTGAAATGTGAATAATGTTAGTGCTTTCAATGGGAGGGAAGTAAAAATTAAGTCAGATTGTTTATATCAAGTGCACAGCACAGTAGCGGGCACATAATGAGCTCTCATATATAACTGCTGCCACCACTGATCTGGTGACAAGGGCAGGTGCAGCCAATGCACAGCAGGGAAGACTAAGAGGGAACAGAGATGGGGTTGGCTTTGACTTGTTCCTGGGCATCGATCGGCTCCTCTTAATGGGCTAGGCCCAAAGACAATACTTCTCAGATCCTGTCCCCAAGAGAAGTATTTCTCTCCCTTGTTTCACCTGAGAGAAGGCTCAATGTGTTCTGGGGTGATTCTGAGGTAGGCATGGGAGAAGGACAGTGATATGGGTGGAAGTCTGGATCCTCTTTGATGATGTATTTAGGTTCCTGAGCAGATTGTGGAGTGTAGGATGGATGGCTTGGAAGCACTAGTGAGTGGCAGAAGAGATACTGGACTAACATCAAGAATACCTCTGGATTTAGAAGGTCATGCAATGGGGACCTAATTTACCTTGGGGGACCCCAGTTACAGGTCCTCCTTGTTGTAGCACACGCTGGGAGAAGAAGCAGATTGAGACTTCTCTTTCATAGCCTTCTCAGGCCCTTGGCGCTGGCTACAGTGTGTTTACTGGTACCCTGAGAACTGAGAATAACTGAAGTCCTCTTGCACGCCTCATGAGCCCTTTGAAGTCTGGCTGCCTACTGGGGTTTCGTGGTGTCAACAGGTTCAGGGAAACAATGGAGGTGAACCCATAATTTCTGTGGTAGAGAATGTTCTCAGTGAAGGACATACATAATTTGTTTGTATACAAATTCCATACAGATGCAATTGGTAGGTCAGGCCTATTGATCTCAGGATGGGTCCAGGGTTCTGCTTGAAAATGCTCTGTCACATCATCTCTAAGTGGAGCTGGATGAACTGCCACATACATACTTTTACTTTTTGGGAGACAGAGTATCTACAAAGTATGTCAAATGGCCCAGCCAGTTAAGCCATGTAAATTTCCCCTAATTTGGCTAGAATACAATTTTGAACTTTCTACTGTTCAACAATCAAAAGCTGAAAAACATGTATGGAAGACTCCCTGGTAAATTTATAGTCAATCCATTACTATAGATAATATAGATGGTGTTCAAAATACTAAATCTTCACAGCAAGGGCTCAATCAACAGAATGTGTCTGGCCATAGCACTGGAATAGGGTCTTGGAGGCCTACTATGGTACGAAGTGTTAACCCCATAGTTGTTCGATTATGGACAAGTCAGGCGGTTACTGGCAGAGTGGCCTGAGCAGGTGAGAAATGCTCATGGGGTTCCAGCAGAGGCTGTTTACTAATTCTTTTTTTTCTGACCATATTTCTGACCATGTCCATACTGGTATGTGCAGGTTCAATATCAACTCTGACCACAGATGCTCTAAAAAAAATGGCTCTCAAATTTTGCTATTTGTTAGAATCACCTGTTATTGTTAGTATTCACTAATCTCAGTATCCTGGGTCCCATCCCCAGAAATTCTGACTTACGGGGTGCAGCCAGGACATCAGAATTTTTTAAAGTTCCCCAGTTGACTGAAATGTGCAGCAAAGTTCGAGGACCATTACCCCAGCATGTACCATGAATTAAGCCAAAGCACTAGAGAAAGGCATTCCTGACCCAGTTTCTTTCACTGAAAGACAATTTGACAGGAAGCTGCTGGTCAAGAGGGAAGGGAAAATAGGAAGCAGCATCTGTGTTGTCTATGAGCACATTCTAGTCTTCACAATATCCAGTGTCTTCTGCAAGAGGATCATGGGAGGATTTCTTTCTGGTTTTAGCATCAGAAATCATTATACTTTACTCTGAGTAATTAGCTCATTTCCTATCTAATGAATTCCTAAACTGCAATTGGCAAGGTTGCCTTTTTCAAGATGGCTGTTAAAGCAAGTTTGGAGCCAAATTAGTGCCTACATGTAAAAGGAATATAAAATTCAAGACACAATCACATATTAACGTTGTTTGTTCTCCTTTTTTTATTACTCACCTGCTTCTATTTTTACTAATTGGATTGCATGTTATGAATACTTAGAAGTAGCCTATTGTAACAAGGCAAGGTATGCCTACCCGTGTAAGTATCATTTTTATTTAAAAAGATCCAGGTGGACACTGTCTGGCTATGGGCCTTTCAGTGGTGGACAATATAAAAGATGGATGTGCACATGGATGGTTTTGTAACTCACTTCTTTGCAAGCAGAGCATAAACTGTGTTCAGTCAAACTTTTGAATTAATACAACTAAGGAATATGTGGAGATCGATTGTTTCAAGGTAGCAGTGGCTGCTACAGATCGGGTGGAAGCTTGAATGTTCTTGCTCTCACTGGGATGGTGCGGAAGCACACATGGGGAAACGTCTGGCTAAACAGCTCAAGCTGGGGATGACCTGATTCTAACATGAAACCCACAAAGCATCCTGGTGCCCTGGGACCAGCAGGAAAGTGGGTTCCAGTGATGCTCATTTCCACTGGTACCACATGTCCCTCAGCTGAGCTTGGGGCTTAAAGTTGATGGGATTCTGACTCCTTCTAAGGGAGGCCATGAAGCCTCAGGTGGTGGGCAGGGCATAGCCTTGGTGAAGAGCCTGCCCAAATGGTGGGGTGAACACAGAAGAAGCCCAGCTGCTCCCTGTGGCTGCATGCCCATTTACTGGAAGGCAGGCCTTGTGGCCCCAGATGGTCCCTTTCCCAACTCTGCTTTGGCCATTGCTCACACTGGGGTATGGGGCATTTTGACTGGCAGGTGTGCCTGGGGAGTAAACGGGGATTCCAGCCAGAGATCGGAATTCATGGGCTCTGCCAGGCTGCCAGGTTCCACAGTTTGAGCCACTTCCTTTCTTGGGGCTCCTGTGAGTTCCTTGAGAGCAATGCCTGGAACGTGGCATCATCAAACATAGTTCTTGGGCAAGAAACCGGTCTGGTTTGGGGTGACCTTCCTCTCTCATCTGGAGATGCCCCAAAACAGCAACACTGGCCAAGCCTGATTAGGCAGGGGCATCATGCACTCTGCAGACAGTGGCCAGGTACCAACTGCAGCACCCTCCTGAAGGGGCTGCTGGGCTGTGCAAGAGCATTAACCCATCCCTCCACCTCTCCCACTGTGCTAAATGTGAGAAATGCCACATTCTAGAAAATGAAATGAGCTTTCTTCTGTAACTCCTCTCTCTGGGTCTTTGTGCAGTCTGCCACACCCAGTCAAGGCCAGTTCTGGGTGCCCAAGGCCATCTATGGCAATGACCTCAGCTCCTTGCTTACTGGGTCCTGCCTTTACTCCAGTCATATCCCTGGCATGGCTTCAAGTCCTGGTGCCAGGCCAGGTTTCTACCCCAAGCCATCTGGCTGGATATTTCTGCATGGTCTTGGCAGCATTTGCTCTGGCCATGACACAGCATCAATACCTTCCTATTACCCTGCTGGAACCCTGGCCTCTCAGGAACCAGCCCTGAATATGGCTGCTGGGCTGGTGCTGGTTTCCACTCCTCCCAATAGGAGTAAAGATCTGAGAAGCTCATTTGAAGCTGTACCAAGAACCTGGGCAGATACTTTGGATTCTCTTCAGGCTTCTCTGAACACAGTGGGCTGAGAGGAGGCCACCAGGGATGCTGTGGGTGGATTCTGAAATGAGCAGTGGAGGCCCCTGAGGCCCATGGAGGCCCGGCTACAGTAAATTCAGGTTGCTTCTGTGTTACTCTTCCACCAATTTCAGTCTGGCTTCTGCTCCCAACACCACATTAAATGTTACTTGGAAGAGACAACCAAGGGCCCCCTAGTGACAAATTCAGTGCCTTCTCTTCAGTATTCTTACTTGACCGTCTTAGGGCATGTGGTAACTTTAATCACTCACTTCATGAAGAAGTCTCTCCTCCCCAAGATTTTTTTTTTACCTTTTTTTTTCTGGTCCTTTCTGACCACCATTGCCAGTACCCAGCTGGCTGTTTCTACCCCTCAGGTGCCAATGCACAGCCACTATCTCTCTTGCTCTATGCTTTTCCTTGGATGATTTTGTAGTTTTAACTAACAACTCTAGGTTAATGCCTTCAAGTTTATCTGTCTAGCCTAGATCTCTTTCTGGAACTTCAGACCTAATTATCCACTTCTTACTGGAAATCTCTTCCAGGTCCCTCAAGTTTAAATGATCATAATCTAAACCAGCAGTCCCCAACCTTTCTGGCACCAGGTACTGGTTTCATAGAAAACAGTTTTTCCACAAACCAGTTGTCGGGGTGGGGATTGGGGGCTAGATGGTTTTGGGATGAAACTGTTCCACCTCAGATCATCAGGCATTAGATTTTCATAAGGAGCTGCAACCTAGATCCCTCGCATGCGCAGTTCACAATAGGGTTTGTGTTCCCATGAGAAGCTAATGCCGCTGCTGATCTGACAGAAGGCAGAGCTCAGGTGGTAATGCCTGCTTGCCTCCCGCTCACCTCCTATTGTGCAGCTCAGTTCCCAACAGGCTATGGACCAGTATCCGTCCATGGCTTGGGGGTTGGGGACCCCTGATCTCAACATGTTATATGCCCCCTACCCTATCCCATCCCAATTATTCTCCTCTTCTTATATTCCCCAAGTTAATGGCGTCAACTTCTGCCAATTTACTCAAGCCAGAAACCAGGGAATCATCTAGATCATGGGTCCCCAACCACCGAACCCCCTGTTAGGAATCAGGCCTCACAGCAGGAGGTGAGTAAGGCCAGTGAGCGAAGCTTCATCTGTATTTACAGCCGTTCCCCATCACTGCCATTACTGCCTGAACTCCGCCTCCTGTCAGATGAGTGGTGGCATTAGATTCTCATAGGAACACAAACCCTACTGTGAACTGTGCACGTGAGGGATCTAGGTTGCGGGCTCCTTATGAGAATCTAATGCCTAATGATGTGTCTCTGTCTCTCATCAACCCCGGATGGGACCATCTAGTTGCAGGAAAACAAGCTCAGGACTCTCACTGATTCTACATCATGGTGAGTTATATAACTATTCCATTACACATTACAATGTAATAATAATATAAAGAAAGTACACAATACATTTAATGTGCTAGAATCATCCCAAAACCATCCCCTACGACTGGTCCGTGGAAAAACTGTCTTCCATGAAACTGGTCCCTGGTGCCAAAATGGCTGTAGACCACTGATCTAGATTTCCTCCTGTCCAGTGGTGTGCTGGCCCTGCCTCTCCCTGAAACACAAGTCAATGAGACTGCTAGCAACTATTCCCAACTCTGCATTCAATGACATCACATTGGTAGCTGGAAAACAGCTACAATGGGAGTATTTACACTATGGAAATAGGCGACCACAACAAATGATAGCTACCTCTCCCCACTCACCACCCTACTACCGAAGCCAGCTGTTCAATATTCACAAACCCACCACCGTCTCTGTCCTATAGCTCCCAACTCTCATCAGGCATCGGGAATTTAGAGGACACATGTGAAACATCATTAGAATTCATCCCCATTGCTTCTACTCTCATGCTCTCTCACCAAGATATTGTCATATCCCCTTCACTAGACTCCCAGCCATACTCTCATATTTCCCCAATATATCTATATAGCTCTTAGAGTAAATGAACTAAAATAAAACCTGACCAAGTCACTTCCTTCTTGGATACAATTTTAACTCCTTCACATGGAGTTCAAGAGTCTCTATAGCTAACTTTGCAAGCTCTCTCTTGAACCTATGTTCTAGTCCTATGGAATCTGCTGAAGTTCCCCCAAACTTACCACTCCATTTGACACCCCCTACTTTTATCCACACTGCTCTCCTTCCTCACATTCTTCTGTATCTACCCACATGTGGGCCCGATGAACAGACATGTCATTCAGAAGTCTGCTCAAGAGTTCCTCCTCTGTGAATTTCTTCCTGACCTCTAACCACCCAGTGTCACTGACCACTGCCTTCTGTTTGTTGAATGAATTAAGGCAATGAATGAGTAAAAGAAAAAGTAACACGTACGTCCTGGGACCCTGCAGGAAGTGCCGCCAGCCCAAGAGGGTGCTGGTGAGGTAGGCCTCTGCCTGGCTGGGTCTCTACGACTGTAGCTATGACAAGCAGGGATGGGTGTTACTGGAAGCAGCCAGAACTAGCAAAGCTAGAGGAGGAGTTAGAGCAGGGGAGACCATATTCTAATGGTAAAGTCCAAGAGGTGTGTAGGAGGCTGGAGAACTAAAGACGCAGGCTGGCCAGGTGCAGTGGCTCACGCCTGTAATCCCAGCACTTTGGGAGGCCAAGGTGGGTGGATCACAAGGTCAGGAGATCAAGACCATCCTGGCTAACATGGTGAAACCCCGTCTCTACTAAAAATACAAAAAAATTAGCCGGGCATGGTAGCAGGTGCCTGTAGTCCCAGCTACTCAGGAGGCTGAGGCAGGAGAATGGCGTGAACCCGGGAGGCAGAGCTTGCAGTGAGCTGAGATCGCGCCACTGCACTCCAGCCTAGGCGAGAGCGAGACTCCGTCTCAAAAAAAAAAAAAAAAAAAAAAAGACGCAGGCTGTGTGCCAGTACAAGGAGAGAGACCACAGGCGGGAGAGATGAGAGTAGATTTGAGATAGCCCTGGGAAGGGGCTGAGGCATATTTTTCTTGACATTTCAATAAAATAGGGCATGCCTGGGTTCCTCTTCCCTAATCCATCCTGATCTCAGTACTTTGGGGAAAAATAAAAATTCTTCTTTACCAAAGCTCAGGAACCCTAAAAGTCATAATTTAAAAAATCTAAAATCAAACACTACATATTTCTGTTATCCTTCTTTTCTACAGATGCCTGATTGGAAACCAAGATAGGTAGATTTCTAACAGCACTTTGAGAATGAACCACATCTAACATATTTAAAAAGAATGTCCATGAATACAATTCATTCTGATAAACATGTTGGGGGATTATATAGAAAAAGACAAAACAGAATATCCAGAGGTGCTGTGTACCTACCCCATACAAGCTCATACCCTAATAGGCCAGAATATACAACACAACTTACTTATTACATTTTATCCTGTGTTAAATCTATAATAGAAATGAGATAAAAAGACCTTAAAAATAATCAATATTTTTGAGCTTTTAGTGTGTGCCTGGCATTGATTCGAAGCACTTTATAGGTATTAATTCATGATTCTCAGAATGGTCCCGTGAGGTAGGTATAAAGACTATTCTCATTTTACAGATGAGAAAACTGAGACCCACATAGGTTAAATAACTTGCTCAGTGTCACATGATGAGGTACTGGAAGAACTAGGATTTGAACTCAGGTGAGTTAGCTCAACCACAATGTCATATTATCCTTCAGACATTAAGTGCGACTGAGAAAGCTTACTGGGGAAGGTAGGGTTTGTGTTGACCCTTCAGGAGCAGGAAGAACTTCAGTCACTAGCTATGGGGACAGAAAGAATTTGAACAAGGGGACTGTGCAGGGATTGTTTGGGGAGAAGCAGGCGGTGGGTGTCATTGGACTATAGGGTATGCTGTTGGCCTCTAGGGGGAGCAGAAGACATCTTTCCCACCTGACTTGGACCTGCTGCACACCAAAAGGGTCAGAGCCAAGAAAAATTACCCCTCCAAAGAGGATGGGTTTTACTTAAACCCAAGGCACCGATTAGGCCACATTTTCTAGAATTGAAACCTTGGTAGAAAATAAAGTTCACAGCACTACTGGGCCTGATTTTCTTGTCTACGGACCCCCTTCCATAATGGATGGAGTAGATCATACATTTCTAATCTGAGGAGGAGAGGGGGTAGATTTGAGGTGAAACAGAGAGGAAAATCACGACATTATGCCACTTTAGCCTTGATATTCCTAATGGAATGAAAGACAAGTTCATTGATAGAGAAATGGGTCAGTACAGTAGTTAGGAAATAGTTGCTATGGTGAATTTCTAGGGCATTCTTAGAAAATAGGGCACAAAGCCATTATTGCCCCTCTAAAATAGCATAAATATGAAACATATCAAATTAGCACGGTGATATTATTTTCTTTAGGAAATCCTGGTGGCTCAGGCTAGGGAACCAACCCACCAACAAACAAATCACTTGAAAGGTAATACCAGGGTTGAAGCTGAGCAGGGGTCAGTACAGGAGGTTAATGAAAGGTATAAAGATTTGGCGATAGAGTTGGTTAAGTGGAGACCTAAGGAATGCCGGCTAAGGTTTCTAGTGCAAGAGCAGAAACTGGGGATAATAAGGAGATATGGAAGAACCAGAGGTCATGGTGAGGCACTAACTAAATAAGCAGGAGTGAGTTGAGGGTAAGGCAGAACAAGAAGCTAATTCTGAGTGCCAAGTAGTGAGGAAGTCTAAGGGGTTACCATGCCAAGGTGATGGGGTCAGTGGAATTGATGAGGTTGGGAAATTGGGATATCAGGTGTTAGAAAGGTCATCATCACAGATATTGGTTGTCTTGGATGTTAGGAAACGTTGGAGAGAAATCATGGTCCTGGTGGTGGTGTGTCCTGAAGAAGGGTGAAGAGTGTCTTGTAGGGTCTGCACATGGTGCCTTTGAAGGTATGAGACGGGGCAATCTACGTGCTAAGTGTGTGAAGACAGCAGGGAAACGGTGTAGAGAGGATAAGAGAATGCCAACCTCATCTCTTGCTCTGTCATATGGTGGTGAAGAGGATGCTATGTGAAAGTGTAGAAGCAGAACCTACATTTCAGCAAGCAAGGGCTAGTGATCAAAGATTATGGAGTGAGGCGAGGCTACAGCTGAAGTGGGGGCCCAACTCAGGGTGCGTTGGCTGTGCTGGGAGCATGCATTCCTGTCTCTTGTCTACCTTCATGACCTACATGTTTGGCAGGCAGGAGTGGGGTGGAGTAAAGAAAAAATATTACTGTCTTTTTTTCTTGTGTTTTTTCTTTCTCCCTACAACTTGTAATTTTCTCTGCTCCTCAATGCATGCCAAAATAATTTATAATTTCATCTTGTACCACATTGGATGCCATAATAACCACGTTGTATTTCCACATGCTATTCTGTTATTATTTTAGAGGAAGCTGCCAGTATCACTTTAATTTCACTCTCCTCTAAGGCAGTTTTTACAGTCTAGCCACACTGCTATGCAACCATCCGCAATTAATAAAAATCAGATAGAGAGGCAACTTGAACGAAGCATGATAGTACGCCATATGCTACAGACACTCCTGAATTCCAGGAGACTTTACAACTTGGAATCTCAAGTTTTTGGACTCAAGATTTTGGAAATGTGTTCCTCAGGAAAAAAATGTTAATGTTGTCCATGAATCAGCATAGAGAGGCAGCTAAAAACGTGGGCTAAAGAATCAGACAGACTTGTGGTCAAGCAGTTCAGCTGGCAGCCAGGGAGCCTTAGGCAAGTCTCATGCCTTTTCTATGGCTTGGGTTTCTCATCTCCAGATGGAGATAGTATCTGCCTCACAATGTTGTTCAGGGGACTAAATGAGATAATGCATGCAAAGAACTCCACATAGTAATTGCTCAATAAATGTCACTACTTAAAAAAAACTTAATTATTTGTCTTATTTTGTTTTGTGAGTTTCTCCAGGAAAGGTGTTGGTAAATTGAAGTTTTATATATATGTTATATATCATATATATATAACATATATATAAAACATATATATAAAAGACATATATATATATATGTTTTCCTCTCCTAAGCAGCATTAAAATAAGAATAGTTCATTTTTAATTTTTTTCCTTACCAAACGTTCAGGAGGGTAACTGATATAATAAATGTTATTTCACAGGTGAGTAATTAAAGATAGTGAAAAAGTGGTAAATGAACTCCAAAGCTGTTATTTCCACTATGCCTGTTCCCTACCTCCCTTCCCAACCTCCTCACCACCACTCTGCTGCCTGCTTTTCAATTGCTGTCATGGCTGTCATGGCCGCCCTCGGCTTACATGTTTTAACACACAACTCTTTTTTTCTTTCTTTCTTTTTTTTTTTTTTTTTTTGAGACAGAGTCTCACACTCTGTCGCCCAGGCTGGAGTGCAATGGTGCGATCTCGACTCACTGCAACCTCCGCCTCCCAGGTTCAAGTGATTCTCCTGCCTCAGCCTCTCGAGTAGCTGGGACTACAGGAGTGTGCCACCAAGCCCGGCTAATTTTTTGTATTTTTAGTAGAGACGGGGTTTAACCATGTTAGCCAGGATGGTCTTGATCTCCTGACCTCATGATCCACCCACCTCAGTCTCTCAAAGTGCTAGGATTACAGGCGTGAGCCACTGCGCCTGGCCCACATAACTCTTATATGAAACATACATATTCATGTGTAAAAATATATTCTATCATGTACACTGAAAATACAGATGAATGCTACATGCATATTAGCTTTGGCTATAATGAAGCCATAATATGAACTCTTTATAGTAAGCTCATTATTCATAATTAATTGAGGTGTACAAACTGCCATTTTTAAATCAAAGTTCTTTCATGTTTTTATCCTTGCCAATTTTAGATTATACACAAGAAAAAATACTTGAATGCTTAAAAATACGTAGCTCTTCTACTTTTAATTAAGTCCAAATGCAATCCTAGCAAAGTGAACCAGGAGGTATTTTGGCTTAACTTCTACATGGAACACTCCTGAACTCTAAGCAGAAGGAATTATGGTAAAGTAGAGGACATAAATCCAAATGAGGAAGCCTAAAAGATGCATTTGTTAAGTGGGCGGACATTTCTTAAAACAGACTTTTCTTAGAACTATATCTTGGTCTTCCACGTTCTACTGATCGCTGCCGAAAACAACACTGAGTACAGCTTGAGTTGCCTTACCCACAGATTAGAAATCTGTTGACGTATGGAAAATAAAGACATCGGGACAAAATGAACAGAATCAGCATATCTTGGTGAAGCGCGGACACCGCATACTTACTACTGCACTCAGGCATCTGGCAAGATCTTACAAGAGGGAGCCCTGGTAGATCCCTGCACATCATCTCACTGAGGGGGATGCGCCGACCTTTGGCTGCCAGCCTTTGACACACCTGCTTTCTTCTCTGGATTCCAACACCACAACTGACAGAACACTGAAATGAGAGTTGTGCAACAGAGTCAAATGGAGCATGAGCAGGCAGACCCAGCCAACAACAGCAAAGTCTCCAAGGGTGAAACAAGAGGAAATTTTCAGTACGGATGTGCCAAGAAGAAAGCCATTTCCTAGGCTTGAACATCTTTTATGTCATGGAGAGTTTCTTCCTCCTCTCCTCCCCTTCCCTCCCCTCCCTTCTCTTCCTTTCTTTCTTTCTCTTTTTCCTTCAGTCATGTCCTCTCTACCGCCCTCCCCCTCCTTCCATCTCACTCTTTCTTTTGGAGATAGTAATTTCCAGTAATTTATTATCGTGGGATTTTTTTGGCATTGCAATTAATATCTAATTTATTTTTTAGCCATTCATTTTTTATTTTCATTTTTAAAATTTGACCCTTTTAATAGTTTTGTTGAGGTATAATTGATATACAAAGAACTACACATGTCTAATGTGTACAATGTGATGGGTTTGGGCTTAATGCAAACACCATATGACACCATTACCACAATCGGAGTAACAGACATATCCAACACTTTCCGAAGTTCCCTTTTGTTTTTTGTTGCCTGTTTGTTTTGTTTTGTTTATTTATGACTAGAACACTTCACATAAGATCTACCTTCTTAATAAATTTTGAATTGCACACTATCTATTGTTAACTGTGCCTATAGGCACTATGTTTTTCCGCAGATCTCTAGAACTTATTCAGCTAGTATAATTGAAACTTTATAACCATTTAACAACTCCCCATTTTCCCCATTCCCCCAGTATGGGGAAACCACTATTGTATTCTATGCTTCTATGAGTTTGACAATTTTAGATACCTTATGTAATGGAATCATGCAACATTTGTTTTTCCCTAACTGGCTTATTTCACTTAGCATAATGTCCTCTAGGTTCATCCATCTTGCAACAAATGGCAGAGTTTCCTACATTTTTAAGGCTGTAAAATATTTCATTGTATGTATATACAGTACCATATTTTCTTTATCCATTCATCTGCCTATGGGCATGTCCATTGTTTGTTTGTTTGTTTTTTGAGATGGATTCTTGCTCTGTCACCCAGGCTAGATAGAGTGCAGTGGCATGATCTCAGCTCACTGGAATCTCTGCCTCTCAGATTCAAGCGATTCTCCTGCCTCAGCCTCCCAAGTAGCTGGGATTTCAGGCGCCCACCACTGCACCCTGCTACTTTTTGTATTTTTAGTAGAGATGGGGTTTTATCATCTTGGCCAGGCTGGTCTCAAACTCCTGACCTCGTGATCCACCTGCCTCGGCCTCCCAAAGTGCTGGGATTATAGGCGTGAGAAGCCACGGCCGGCCTTTTTAAAATTATTATACTTTAAGTTCTGGGATACATGTGTAGAATGTGCAGGTTTGTTATACAGGTCCACATGTGCCATGGTGGTTTGCTGCACCCATCAACCCGTCATCTACATTAGGTATTTCTTCTAATGCTATCCCTTCCCTAGCCCCCCACCCCCTGACAGGCCCCAGTGTGTGATGTTCCCCTTCCTGCGTCCATGTGTTCTCATTGTTCAACTCCCACTTAAGAGTGAGAACGTGCAGTGTTTGGTTTTCTGTTCCTGTGTTAGTTTGCTGAGAATGATGGTCTCCAGTTCCATCCATGTCCCGACAAAGGACATGAACTCATCCTTTTTTGTGGCTGCATAGTACTCCATGGTGTTCCACATTTTCTTTATCCAGTCTATTATTGATGGGCATTTGGGTTGGTTCCAAGTCTTTGCTATTGTGAACAGTGTTGCAATAAACATATGTGTGCATGTGTCATAGTAGAATGATTTCCAATCCTTTGGGTATATACCCAGTTATGGGATTGCTGGATCAAATGGTATTTCTGATTCTAGATCCTTGAGGAATTGCCACACTGACTTCCACAATGGTTGAACTAATTTACACTCCCACCAACAGTGTAAAAGCATTCCTATTTCTCCATATCCTCTCCAGCATCTGTTGTTTCCTGGCTTCTTAATGATCGCCATTCTAACTGGTGTGAGATGGTATCTCATTGTGGTTTTGATTTGCATTTCTCTAATGAGCTTTTTTCCATATGTTTGTTGGCCGCATAAATGTCTCCTTTGGAGAAGTATCTGTTCATATCCTTCACCCACTTTTTGATGGGGTTTTTTCTTGTAAATTTGTTTAAGTTCCTTGTAGATTCTGGATATTAGCCCTTTGACAGATGGATAGATTGCAAAATTTTTCTCCCATTCTGTAGGTTGCCTGTTAGTCTGATGATAGTTTCTTTTGCTGTGCAGAAGCTCTTCAGTTTAATTAGATCCCATTTGTCAATTTTGGCTTTTGTTGCCATTGTTTTTGGTATTTTAGTCATGAAGTCTTTGCCCATGTCTATGTCCTGAATGGCACTGCCTAGTTTTTCTTATAGGGTTTTTATGGTTTTAGGTCTTATGTTTAAGTCTTTAATACATCTTGAGTTAATTTTTGTATAAGGTGTAAGGAAGGGGTCCAGTTTCAGTTTTCCGCATATGGATAGCCAGTTATCCCAATACCATTTATTAAATAGGGAATCTTTTCCCCATTGCTTGTTTCTGTCATGTTTGTCAAAGATCAGATGGTTGTAGATGTGTGGCATGATTTCTGAGGCCTCTGTTCTGTTCCATTGGTCTATATATCTGTTTTGGTACCAGTACCATACTGTTTTGGTTTCTGTAGCCTTGTAGTATAGTTTGAAGTCAGGTAGCATGATGCCTCCAGCTTTGTTCTTTTTGCTTAGGATTTTCTTGGCTATACAGGCTCTTTTTTGGTTCCATATGAAATTTAAAGTACTTTTTTCTAATTCTGTGAAGAAAGTCAAAGGTAGCTTGATGGAGATACCATTGAATCTATAAATTACTTTCAGCAGTATGGCCATTTTCACAATATTGATTCTTCATATCCATGAACATGGAATGTTTTTCCATTTGTTTGTGTCCTCTCTTATTTCCTTGAGCAGTGGTTTGTATGTAGTTCTCCTTGAAGAGGTCCTTCACATCCTTGTAAGCTGTATTCCTAGGTACTTTATTCTCTTTGTAGCAATTGTGAATGGGAGCTCACTCATGATTTGACTTTCTGTTTGTCTATTATTGTTGTATAGGAATGCTTGTGATTTTTGCACATTGATTTTGTATCCTGAGACTTTGCTGAAGTTGCTTATCAGCATAAGGAGATTTTGGGCTAAGATGATGGGGTTTTCTAAATATATAATTATGTCATCTGCAAACAGAGACAATTTGACTTCCTCTCTTCCTATTTGAATACCATTTATTACTTTCTCTTGCCTGGTTGCCCTGGCCAGAATTTCCAATACTATGTTAAATAAGAGTGGTGAGAGAGGGCATCCTTGTCCTGTGCCAGTTTTCAAAGGGAATGCTTCCAGCTTTTGCCCATTCAGTATATTGGCTGTGGGTTTGTCATAAATAGCTCTTATTATTTTGAGATACATTTCATCAATACCTAGTTTATTGAGAGTTTTTAGCATGAAGGGGTGTTGAATTTTATCAAAGGCCTTTTCTGCATCTATTGAGATAATCATGTGGTTTTTGTAATTGGTTCTGTTTATGTGATGGATTATGTTTATTGATTTTCGTATGTTGAACCAGCCTTGCATCCCAGGGAGGAAGCTGACTTGATCGTGGTGGATAATCTTTTTGATGTGCTGCTGGATTCAGTTTGCCAATATTTTATTGAAGATTTTCGCATTGATGTTCATCAGGGATATTGGCCTGAAATTTTCTTTTTTTTTGTTGTGTTTCTGCCAGGTTTTGGTATCAGGATGATGCTGTCCTCATAAAATGAGTTAGGGAGGAGTCCTTCTTTTTCTATTGTTTGGAATAGTTTCAGAAGGAATGGTACCAAGCTCCTCTTTGTACCTCTGGTGGAATTCAGCTGTGAATCTGTCTGATCCTGGGCTTTTTGTGGTTGGTAGGCTATTAATTACTGTCTCAATTTCAGAACTTGTTATTGGTCTATTCAGGAATTTGACTTCTTCCTGGTTTAGTCTTGGGAGGGTGTATGTGTCCAGGAATTTATCCATTTCTTCTAAATTTTCTAGCTTATTTGCGTAGAGGTGTTTATAGTATTCTCTGATGATAGTTTGTATTTCTGTGGGATCAATGGTGATTTTATCATTTTTTATTGTGTCTATTTGATTGTGTCCTCTTTTCTTCTTTATTAGTCTGGCTAGCTGTCTATGTATTTTGCGAATCTTTTCAAAATACCAGCTCTGGGATTCATTGATATTTTTGAAGAGTTTTTCATGTCTCTATCTCTCTCAGTTCTGCTCTGATCTTAGTTATTTCTTGTCTTCTGCTAGCTTTTGAATTTGTTTGCTCTTGCTTCTCTAGTTCTTTTAATTGTGATGTTAGGGTGTCAATTTTAGACTTTTCTGCTTTCTCCTATGGCCATTTAGTGCTATAAATTTCTCTCTAAACACTGCTTTAGCTGTGTCCCAGAGATTCTGGTACATTGTGTCTTTGTTCTTATTGGTTTCAAATAACGTATTTATTTCTGCCTTAATTTTGTTATTCACCCAGTAGTCATTCAGGAGCAGGTTCTTCAGTTTCCATGTAGTTGTGCAGTTTTGAGTGAGTGTCTTAATCGTGAGTTCTAATTTGACTGCACTGTGGTCTGAGAGACTGTTTGTTAAAATTTCCACTCTTTTGTATTTGCTGAGGAGTGTTTTACTTCCAAGTATGTGGTCAATTTCAGAATAAGTGTGATATGGTGCTGAGAAGAATGTATATTCTGTTGATTTGGGGTGGAGAGTTCTGTAGACGTCTATTAGGTCCACTTGGTCCAGAGCTGAGTTCAAGTCCTGAATATCCTTGTTAATTTTCTGTCTGTTGATCTGTCTAATGTTGACAGTAGGGTGTTAAAGTCTCCCACTATTATTGTGTGGGAGTCCAAGTCTCTTTGTAGGTCTCTAAGAACTTGCTTTATGAATCTGGGTGCTCCTGTATTGGGTGCATGTATATTTAGGACAGTTAGCTCTTCTTGTTGCATTGATCTCTTTACCATTATGTAATACCCTTCTTTGTATTTTTTGATCTTTGTTGGTTTAAAGTCTGTTTTATCAGAGACTAGGACTGCAACCCCTGCTTTTTTTTTTTTTTTTTTTGCTTTCCATTTGCTTGGTAAATATTCCTCCATCCCTTTATTTTGAGCTTATGTGTGTCTTTGCACATGAGATGGGTCTCCTGAATACAGCACACCTATGGGTCTTAACTCTTGATCCAATTTGCCAGTCTCTGTCTTTTAATTGGGGCATTTAGCCCATTTACATTTAATGTTAACATTGTTATGTGTGAATTTAATCCTGTCATGATGATGCTAGCTGGTTATTTTGACTGTTAGTTGATGCAGTTTCTTCATAGTGTTGACAGTCTTTACAATTTGGTATGTTTTTGCAGTGGCTGGTACCGGTTGTTCCTTTCCATGTTTAGTGCTTCCTTCAGGAGCTCTTGTAAGGCAGGCCTGGTGGTGACAAAATCTCTCAGCATTTGCTTGCCTGTAAAGGATTTTATTTCTCCTTCGCTTATGAAGCTTAGGTTGGCTGGATATGAAATTCTGGGTTGAAAATTCTTTTCTTT
This sequence comes from Homo sapiens, assembly GCF_000001405.40. NCBI lineage: Eukaryota > Metazoa > Chordata > Mammalia > Primates > Hominidae > Homo > Homo sapiens. The sequence continues at coordinate 570,671 of NW_025791797.1, read as the reverse complement.
AAGAATGTTGAATATTGGCCCCATTCTATTCTGGCTTGTAGGGTTTCTGCAGAGAGATCCACTGTTAGTCTGATGGGCTTCCCTTTGTGGGTAACCCAATCTTTCTCTCTGGCTGCCCTTAACATTTTTTCCTTCATTTCAATCATGGTAAATCTGACGATTATGTGTCTTGGGGTTGTTCTTCTAGAGGAGTATCTTTGTGGTATTCTCTGTATTTCCTGAATTTGAATGTTGGCCTTTCTTGCTATGTTGGAGAAGTTCTCCTTGATAATATCCTGAAGAGTGTTTTCCAACTTGGTTCCATTCTCCCCTCACTTTCAGGTACACCAAACAAACGTAGGTTTGGTCTTTCCACATAGTCCCATATTTCTTGGAGGCTTTGTTTTTTCCTTTTCATTCTTTTTTCTCTAATCTTCTCTTCATGCTTATTTCATTAAGTTCATCTTCAATCTCTGATATCCTTGTTCTGCTTGAGCAATTTGGCTATTGATACTTGTGTATGCTTCATGAAGTTCTCGTGCTGTTTTTTTCAGCTCCATTAGGTCATTTTTGTTCTTCTCTAAACTGGTTATTCTAGTTAGCAATTCCTCTAACCCTTTTTCAAGGTTCTTAGCTTCCTTGCATTGGGTTAGAACATGCTCCTTTAACTTGGAGGAGTTTGTTATTACTGACCTTCTGAAGCCTACTTCTGTCAATTTGTCAAATTCCTTCTCTGTCCAGTTTTGTTCCCTTGCTGGCAAGGAGTTGTGACACTTTGCAGGTGAAGAGGTGTTCTGGTTTTTGGAATTTTCAGCCTTTTTGTGCTGGTTTTTCCACATCTTTGTGAATTTATCTACCTCTGGTCTTTGATGGTCTTTTGATGACCTTCAAGTGGGGTTTCCGGGGTTTCTGTGTGGACATCCTTTTTGTTGATGTTGATGTTATTCCTCTCTGTTTGTTAATTTTCCTTCTAATAGTCAGGCTCCTCTGCTGCAGGTCTGCTGGAGTTTGCTGGATGTCCACTCCAGGCCTGGTTTGCCTGAGTATCACCAGCAGATGCTGCAGAACAGCAAAGATTGCTGCCTGTTCCTTCCTCTGGAAGCTTCATCCCAGAGGGGCACCTGCCAGATGCCAGCCAGAACTCTCCTGTATGAAGTGTCTGTCAGCCCCTACTGAGAGGTGTCTCCCCATCAGGAGGTGCAGGGGTCAGGGACCCACTTGAGGAGACAGTCTATCCCTTAGCAGAGCTTGAGCACTGTGCTGGGAGATCTGCTGCTCTCTTCAGAGCCAGCAGGCAGGAACATTTAAGTCTGCTGAAGCTGCACCCACAGCTGCCCCTTCCCCCAGGTACTCTGTCCCAGGGAGATGGGAGTTTTATCTATAAGACCCTGACTGTGGCTGCTGCCTTGCTTTCAGAGATGCCCTGCCAGAAGGGAGGAATCTAGAGAAGCAGTCTGGCTACAGTGGCTTTGCCAAGCTGTGGTGGGCTCCACCCAGTTTGAACTTCCCAGAGGCTTTGTTTACACTGTGAGGGGTAAGCTGCCTACTCAAGCCTCAGTAATGGTGGACGCCCCTTCCCCCACCAAGCTGGAGCATCCCAGGTCAACTTCGCACTGCTGTACTGGCAGCGAGAATTTCAAGCCAGTAGATCTTAGCTTGCTGGGCTCTGTGGGGGTGGGATCTGCTGAGCTAGGCCTGGCTTCAGCCCCCTTTCCAGGGAAGTGAACGGTTCTGTCTCACTGGTGTTACAGGCACCACTGAGGTATGAAAAAAACCTCCTGCAGCTAGCTTGATGTCTGCCCAAATGGCTGTCCAGTTTCGTGCTTGAAACCCATGGGCCCTGGTGGTGTAGGCACCCGGGGGAATCTCCTGGTTTGTGGGTTGTAAAGACCATGGGAAAAGTGTAGTACCTGGGCTAGATTGCACCATTCCTCACAGCACAGTCCCTCACGGCTTCCCTTGGCTAGGGGAGGGAGTTCCCTGACCTCTTGCACTTCCCAGGTAAGGAGACACCCCACCATGCTTCAGCTGGCCCTCCATGGGCTGCACCCTCTGTCTAACCAGTCCCAATGAGATGAGCCAGTACCTCTGTTGGACATACAGAAATCACCTGCCTTCTGTGTTGATCTCACTGGGAGCTGCAGACCAGAGCTGTTCCTATTTGGCCATCTTGCCAGCCATGGCTGATTTTGATTTTATGATACTCATTACCAAGTATCCAAGAAATACAAATGTATAAAAAGGAAAGTTTTTAAAAAATCACCCAAACTGCCATATATAGAGTAACATGAATAGTAATAATCAGTGTGTATACATGCAATTTCAACTTAAAAATTTAATGCAATTTTATTAGATATATTAGAAAAAAAGACATTAAAGTAAAATTAGAGTTGTTGAATGTTTGATATTTTTTAAACCATGATTAATTCCCGAAAGAACACTCTAAAGTTAATAAAGAAGATTAAATAAACCAACAAGAGATTTGGATAGTTATTTTTAATGACAATTTGACTTAGGAGAGTATTTATTGACTTGCTACTAAGAAGGATGAGGAAATAAGCACACTTACATTTCCTCTACTGTATTAGTCCAATCTTATGTTGTTAATAAAGACATACCCAAGACTGGGTAAGTTATAAAGGAAAGAGGTTTAATAGACTCAGTTCCACGTGGCTAGGGAAGCCTCACAATCATGGCAGAAGACAAAGGAAGGGCAAAGGGACGTCTTACATGGCAGCAGGCAAGAGAGAATGAGAGCCAAGCGAAAAGGGAAACCCCTTATAAAACCATCAGATCTCGTGAGACTCATTTACCACCACGAGAACAGTATGAGGGAAACTGCCCCCATGATTCAATTATCTCCAACTGAGTCCCTCCCACAACACATGGGAATTATGGGAACTACAATTCAAGATGAGATTTGGGTGGGGACACAGCCAAACTATATCATCTACCTCATCTCTCCAAATCTCAATTAGTTTTCATTTTATTATTTAGATAATGTCAAGATTTCTGATATTTATGTTATGTTCTATAATATAATTGTTAGTTGATTAGTCTTAATCCTACACAAATGAATTTATTACTCATCTCCCACCTTTTTTACCAGGATCTATGCATTCCTGGATTCTCTGTTTTGAGTCATCTCTGTATCTCATCTTGGCCCTACAGCTTTTTCAAGGGCTTATCAGACAGTATTCTCTGACTGCCTCTCTGCTGTCTCTCTACATGAAGAACACAGGATGAAGAGGAAATCCTTGAGTCATGCTTGCTTTTCTTTAGAATTGTGTAGATCCTGCTCCATTGTCCTCTTGCATTGAATGCTCCTATGAAGATGAGAATTTTTAGTTTATTTGGTTGACTTTCTGTTCAAAGGGGGTTTTGCTTTATCCACGAGGTTCAGCATCTTACACAGGCTTAGTGGCGCATGCTGTGCTATTATGACTTGCAGATAAAAGCTTTTATTAAAGGGAATTAATTCCCCTTATTTTGTCTCTGAATACTTTTCTGTTCCATGTGTTTTGTTCTTCTCAACAAATACCAATTGTGTTTATGTTTGATCTCCTTTGTCCGTCTTCCATATCCCTTATGGCCACTAAAAACCAATTTTACATCTTTGTTCTTTTCCATATAATTTTATATGACTTATTCCAGTCTGTATCCCATCTCCCTTTATTTCCAGTCATTTCCTTTATTTTCTTAAGTTGTTGCTTGTAATGTAAGTTTTGTGTTTGCTATTTTTGTATCTGCCATTTAAAAATTTTTCTTTTTTCCTGACTGTTGCAGTTGTCTTTCCATCTCCTTCTGTTGTCTTATAGTCTCTTTTTTGAACTCAAACCTCACTTTAAAGCCACTTTTTCCCTAGACATCAAGACTATAACTTCCTTGGAAGTATAGAACCTATCTGTCTCAACTTTTCTCTGGGGAAAATCTTATGTTATCCATGTGACTCTTGCTTTATGCTCCATTCCCCCATCCCATGACTTCCTCCCTCCCTTTTGATTTTTCCCCCTAGTTTTGGTGCATAGATATTATGCTGGTGCTTTGAATACAGCTGGCTGTTTGTGAGTAACACGGGTGGGAGAAACGAGCTAGGAGACTTTACATCCATTTGTTGTCTTCAACATTCTGTCACCAAATCTCTTATTTCCTCTACCCACATCTCCTTTCAGATTTTCGAATTTGAATAGTTGATGAGACAAATAAAAGAGCCTCTTAAATAACTGGCTTACTGTGTAATAATCCAACAATTGCTGCCCCTCCCCCCTCCTTCTTTCATACCACTTCATCTCTGGCAGCCTTCCTTGGCAAGGAGGCATAAAAATATGCCTTCTCCCTCAGCTATGTCTCCCATCATGGTTCTGCAAGGGACATCCTCAGTTTTTTTTCCGAGGTACTTCATGATCCAGGATCTAGTCTCTGTCATCAAAGAACTAGAACAGGCCTTTCAGGACTGCCACATTTACTCCTAGGGAAATCTATACCCTGCTCGGCGCCTGAGGAAATATTTGTCAGCTCTCAGCCTTCCCCCTCATTCTGGTCCAGATTTTATGGTCTTTGGCAGGTGTGTTTCTTAATTTATAGTTTGGGATTGTGGCCATTTCATTGTTCATTGAAGACACAGTGTTCCTTCTCTTTCATTCTTTTAGTGGGTTTTTTGTTGGGTTTCAAAGGAGGAAAATGGAATTTTTAAAAATGCCTTTAGTGACATCTTTTAACAGAAAGCCCTAATTATTATTATTTTTCAGTATAGACAAAAGCTTTTTGTAAGCTTTTGAATAAATATTTTTAAATTACCATTACCATATTATCACTTTTTTAACAAGTCAAAACATCATCTAGGAGTTTCTCACATAATAAAAATGAATGTCAGCTTTTTATTAAACTACTATGTGAGTTACTTTTGTTCATATAAAAGTGGTTAAATAACTGCCAATGGCTACTCAGAAGACATTTTTAATGATACATATTTGACTTTTTCTCCCCATCCTGAATGGAAGGATGGTTTGTAAACCCTTTTTTCTGGAGCAAAGTCTTCTGTGACTGTGTGTCTGCTAAGTTAAAGTAAGCATGCCATCAGAGAATGTCCACAACTCACAGAGAGAGGAGATGTCATAATCAGTGCCATTAATTATCATTCACAAAGCAGCAACTTTATGCCAAAGCTTGTCATGGTTTCCTCTATAGACATCTCGTGGATTCCTCAGGAATTGCTCATGGGAACAATATAGATTGAGTTCTTGCATCTTCAAAACTATTTGCCTGTGGCCTTTAAACTTGAAAGTCAGTTTGGCAGGATATAAAATCTTTGGCTCACACTTTCTTTCCTTCAGTATCTTAAATATGTGGCTCCACTGTTTTCTAGTATGAAGTGGTATTGTTGAGAAGTCTAGCGTCAGTTTGATTTTCTTTCCCTAATAAATGACTTGATTCTTTTGCATAGATGCACAAATATATTTTTATCTTTTAGTAGAATATGTCCTTTTTTTGAGATGGATTCTTGCTCTGTTGGCACAATCTCAGCTCATTGCAAACTCTGCCTCCTGGGTTCAAGTGATTCTCCTGCCTCAGCCTCCCGAGTAACTGAGATTACAGGAGTGTGCCATTAAGCCCAGCTAATTTTTGTATATTTTTTAGTACAGACAGGGTTTCACCATGTTGGCCAGGCTGGTCTTGAACTCCTGGCCTCAAGTGATCCACCCACCTTGGCCTCCCAAAGTGTTGGGATTACAGGCTTGAGCCACTGCACCCAGCTGAGTATGTCTTGATATTGACCATTCTGGGTCAGTTTTCCCAGGTATATAGAGTGCCCTTTCAATATGGCAATTTGAGCCATTAAGTTTTGTTCTGTTATGATTTTTGGTGGTTTTCTTTTCCTGGGACTCTATATTCATTGAATTTTATTTCCTTGTCTTTTATATATATTATCTGCACTTGAATCTTTTTTTATTTCTCTTTGATTCTTGTCATTTCCCTCCTTTTATTTTGCTTATTACACTTTCTCTGCCCAGTCATTCTTGAGTTTCTTCTAGTGTTTAGTCTACATTCTGAGAAATTTACCCTTAGTTTTAAAAATTCTTTTCTAAACCGTCAGCTATCATTTTACATTCTCCTGTTATTTATTCATCTCATTTCTTGAATTTTCTATTTCTGATTTGTTTCTACAGTTTTCTTTTTGTTTCTCTTAGCTCATTTTGTAACACTGAGTATATTTTCATCTGTTTAAAGGCCAAATTTTCATTATGTTGGTATGCTATTGATACTTTTATCTTACTGTATCTTTTTGGAGGTTTGCAGATGTTCTTATTAAATGAATTAGATTGTTTTCTGTACTTTTAGGGAAAGAGAGTGTAAGCAGGAGGGAATATTTCAGGATAGTTATCTTCACTGTTAAGAGCTTCCTCCTCTGGTGTTAAAAGGAAGTATTATATGCAACAATTTGGCCACAATTCTGGGATTTGTATCTCTGGACTCCCCAACTCCCAAGGATCTGAACATCTCTTTCCTTTACCTCTTGTGTTCCTTCTCCACTTGGATTATAATTCTGACAACTTTTCTTGGGCACTTCTTAAGCCCTTTAGTGGTTCTGCACAATCTTTCTTGCATCCAATCACACTCTGGAACCAATCACACTCTGGAGTCCTTCCTCAATTTGGCTGATTGGTCTCAGACCTATTTGCTGAGGGTTCTACTCAGAGTAGGATCATTTTCTTGTCATGCTATTTATTCGTGACATCTGTGTTCCACAACTCTTGGCCCTGTCTCTCCTCTTTTTTATCGCTGCCCAGCTGCTAATTCTGCCATTTCTGAACAGTGTCTGCACTGTGTGGTTTGGCCTCACCTACTTATATTACTTTTGTTAAAATTACCTCTGTTGTTTTTCCTTTCCTTCTGCATTCCTAATTGCTCTGCTTTTTGTTTTTTAATGAGGGATTTGGGAATAGTAACTATGCTACTACCATGATTTTGCTTCACTAGAAGCCTTCAAATAATTTTTAAAGGGACTACTGTCAATAATATACTTTTAGATATCATGGTAGTCATCTTCCATGGTTTCAACTACCACATATGTGTTGATGATTCACGCAATTATAACTTTAATGTAGATCTTTTCTGAGCTGTAATTCTTTACTGATACCTTTATAGACTCTCAAACTACATGTATGTCTAAAATAAGCCATTTTTCTCTCCCTTTCAAGTCACTTTCTGAATATGCTTCTTCTTTCTAATTAATTTTAAAATTAATGTCGTCTCATTCATTAGCTTCCCAGGACAAAAATACAAAACACTCCTCTTTTTTGCTCATGTCCTGTCAATTCAATTGCCAAATATGTCAGTTAAATCTCCTACATATTGTTCAAAACCACTTACTACTCTCTATCCCAACTGCTTCTTCATTCTCTCTTGTTGATTTTATTCCAATCACCATCTAACAAGGTTTTTCAAGCTTCAATTCCTTCTTCCTCTAATACCTTATCCATAGTGCAGCCAGAATTATATGTCTAAAACCTTACATTTTACTTCCCCATTCAAACACCTTCCAACATGCTCTCAATGACTGTAGGGATAAATCCAATACCCTAAAGCCTTCACAATCCAGCTGTAATCTCTCCTTTCCATCTCACCTACCAGCACTTACTCAGTGCATCCTGTTCTCAAGCCACACAAGACTGATAAACTCTCCCAAATCTGTGCCTTTATATACACGCTTGTCACTCTAGAACACCCCTCTGTCTCATTTCCACACAGTTTGCACTCATCTCTTAAGACGCAACTCCAAAGCTGCATCTTATGCAACACTTTCCAGTGACCCAGGCAGACTTAAACGTTTCCCTTCAATTTTCACGTAGCTCTGTAGACAGAACACCTTTATTGGGCATTTTTTACATGGTTGTAAATGTCATTTCTTCTGCCTGCCTTTTTAAACAGTGAGCTCACTGAAAACTATTCTTAGTTGTCTCTGGTTCCTGGTGCCTAGGGTAATCAACATAGCAATGCTCAGTAAATGTTGATTAAATGAGTGAGTTTGTAAGGCTATGGAAATAGGCCTATTTAGAGTAGAAGAAGCTTTTATAAATCTTTATACTTCAGCCAAAAAGTGTTTACCAAGCACCAAGTGGGATACAAACATGTGCAGAAATGGGTCTTCCCCTCTGGCAGTTACTTTGGGTCAGGAAAATAAAGTGTATTCAGGTTATGTGTGTGTGTGTGTGTGTGTGCCTGTGCGGTGTGTGTGTGTAACTTAAAACACATGGAACAGATAGAACTACATGAATTTGAATCCACTGGGCATATTTTGGATGGGTCATAATATAAGAGTAAACTGTCAGATTCAGTCTAAAAAGACACTATTATTCCAGTAGAAGAGTGCTTAGCAAAAAGGGCAGAGCAAGATGGCAGAATAGAAGGCTACATTGATCATCCCCCTACTCCCACTACCACAGGAAAACTAAATTTAAACAATTATCTGTGAACAAAAAAGCACCTTCATAAGAACTAAAAATTGGGTGAGCCATCACAGTACTTGTTTTTAATTTCTTATCACTGAAAGAGGCACTGAAGAAGGCAGAAAAGATGGCCTTAAATCACCAACACCACCCCTTCCCCATTCCCTGGCAGTGGCTGCATGGCACGGAGAGAGAATCTGTGCACTTCAGGGAGGGAGAGCACAGCAACTGGGGGACTTTGCATTGAACTCAGTGCTGCCCTGTCACAGTGGGAAGTGAAACCATGTTGAACTCAGCTGATACCCACAGAGACAGCATTTGGACCAGCCCTAGCCAGAGGGGAAGTGCCTATTCCAGTGGCCGGAGCCTGAGTTTCAGCAGTCTCACCACCATGGGCTAAGGTGCTGTGGGGTCCTAAGTGAACTTGAAAGGCAGTCTAGGAAGGACTCAGATTCTTAGGCAAGTCTGATGGTGTTCTGGGGTTAGAGCCAGTGGACTGGGGCAGTGTGTGACCTAGTGACACACCAGATGGGGCAGCTGGGGAAGTACCTGCACTACCCCTCCCTCAACCCCAAGCAGCACAGCTTGTAGCAATGAAAGCAACTCCTTCCTTCTGCTTGAGGAGAGGAGAGAGACCAGTCAAGAGGACTTTGTACTTTGTCTTGCATCTTGGATACAAGCTCAGCCACAGACAGTGCACTGGGCAGAGTCGTGAAGCCCCCATGCCAGGTCCTAGCTCCTGGGTGACATTTCTAGACACACCCTGGGCCAGAAGGGAACCCACTGCCTTGAAGAGAAAGACCAAGTCCTGGCAGCATTAATTATCTGCTAACTAAAGAGCCCTTGGGCCCTGAATAACCAAAAGTGATATCCAGGTAGTATGCCATGGGCCTTGGATGAGACTTTGAGATATGCTGGCTTCGGGTAACAGCTCAGCACAGTGGATAGAGTATCTAGTGGGCTTCAGGGGTCCCTGAGTTCAGGCCTAGGCTTTCGGACAGCATTTCTGCACCTTCCCTGGGCCAGAGGTGGGAGCCTACTACCCTGAAGGGTGAATCCCAGGTTTGGCAGCATTCACAAGCTGGCTGAAGAGCCCCTAGGCATTAAGTGATCAGCAATGGTAGCCTGGCAGAACTCTCTACGGACTGCTGATGATGATGGCCATGGGGAGAGCTCCTCTGCCTGTGGAAAGGGGAGGGAAGAGGGGGAAGGATTTTGTTGTATGGTTTCAGTGGCAGCTTAGCCACAGGGTAATAGAATACCAGGTAGATTTCTAAGGTTTTTGACTTAAATCCCTGGCTCTCAGAAAGTATCTCTGGACATGCCCAGGGCCTGAAAGAACTTGCCTCCCTGAAGGGAAGAACATAAGCCTGAAGGGAAGGACATAAGCCTGGATGGCTTCAACTCTTGCTGACTGTAGCCCTAGGGCCTTGAGTGAACATAGGCAGTAACCAGATAGTGGCTGCAGTGGGTCTTGGGTGAAACCCAGTGCTATTCTGGCTTCAGGTCTGACCCAGGGCAGTTCCAGTGTTGGTGGCCATAGGGGTGCTTGCATCACCCCAATCCCAGCTCCAGGTGGCTCAGCAGAGAGAGAGAGAGAGACAGAGACAGAGGCAGAGAGATGCTGTTTGTTTGGGAGAAAGTAAAGGAAGAGAACAAGAGTCTCTTCCTGGTAATCCAGAGAATGCTTCTGGATCTTATCCAAGACCACCAAAGTGATATCTCTATGAGTGTGCATGAAGCACAGTGTTACTGGGCTTGGGGCCCAAGTCCCTTTGAATACTTGGAAAGGCTTCCCAAGAAGGACAGGCATAGACTGTAAAGCCCAGATTGTGAAGACTACAATAAATACATAATTATTCAATGCCCAGACACCAAAGGACATCTACAGGAAAACATGACTTCACCAAATGAACTACATCAGGCACCAGGGACCAATCCTGGAGTGACAGAGATACATGACAGAGAATTCAAAATAGCCATTTTGAGGAAACTCAAACAAATTCAAGACAATATAGAAAAGGAATTCAGAATTCTATCAGATAAATTTAACAAAGAGATTAATTTTTAAAATCAAGCAGAAATTCTAGATTTAAAAAATACAATTGACATACTGAAGAATGTATCAGAGTCTCTTGGCAGCAGAACTGATCAACCAGAAGAAAGAACTGGTGAGCCTGAAAACAGGGTATTTTAAAATACAGTTAGAGGAGACAAAAGAAAAAAGAATAAAAAATAATGAAGCATGCCTACAAGATTTAGAAAATAACCCTGAAGGGGCAAATCTAAGAGTTATTAGTCTTAAAGGGGAGGTAGAGAAAGCGATAGGGGTAGAAAAATTATTCAAAGGGATATCAGAGAACTTCCCAAACCTAGAGAAAGATATTAACATTCAAGTGCAAGAAGGTTATATAATACCAAGCATACTTAGTGCAAAGAGGACTACCTCAAGGAATTTAATAGTCAAACTCCCAAAGGTCAAGGGTAAATACCATAAAAGCAAAAAGAGAAAAGAAACAAATAACACACAATGGGGTTCTAATAAGTCTGGAAACAGACTTTTCAGTGGAAACCTTAAAGGCCAGGAGAGAGTGGCATGACATATTTAAAGTGCTGAAGGAACAAAACTTTTACCCTAGAATAGTATATCCAGTGAAAATATCCTTCAAGCATTAAGGAGAAATAAAGGTCTTCCCAGACAAACAAAAGCTGAGGGATTTTATTAACACCAGACCTGTCCTATAAGAAATGCTAAAGGGAGCTCTTCAGTCTGAAATAAAAGGATATTAATAAGCAAGAAGAAATCACCTGAAGGTACAAAACTCACTGGTAATAGTAAGTACACAGAAAATCATGGAATATTATAACACTGTGATTGTGGTGTCAAAACTAATCTTAAGTAGAAAGTCTAAATGATGAACCAATCAAAAAATAATAAATACAACAACTTTCAAGCCAGGATAGCACAATAAAACATAAAGAGAAACAAAAAGTTAATAAGTGAGAGGACAAAGTAAAAGTATAGAGTTTTCATTAGTTTTCTTTTTGTGTGTTTGTTTACACAATGTGTTAAGTTGTCATCAGTTTAATATAATGGGATATAAGATAGTATGTGCAAGCCTCATGGTAATCTCAAATCAAAAACCATACGATGGATACAGAAAAAATAAAAAGCAAGAAATTAAGTCATACCACCAGAAAAAAATCACCTGTACTAAAAAGAAAACAGGAAGGAAGGAAAGAAGAAAGAGAAGACTGCAAAACAAACGGAAAACAAATAACAAAATGGCAGGAGAAAGTCCCTACTTATCAACAGTAACACTTAATGTAAATGGACTAAACTCCCCAATCAAAAGGCACAGAAAGGCTGAATGGATGAAAAAACAAGAGCCATTGATCTGTTGCCTACCTACAAGAAGCACATTTCACCTGTAAAGATACACATAGACTGAAAATAAAGGGATGGAGTTAGATGTTCCATGCCAACGGAACCCCAAAAACAGCAGTAGTGCTATGCTTATATCAGACAAAATAGATTTCAAGGCAAAAACTGTAAGAACAGGCAAAGAATGTCATTGTTTAATTTATAGAGGGGTCAGTTCAGCAAGGGGATATAACAATGTTTTTTTCTTTTTTTTTTTTTTTTGAGGTGGAATCTTACTCTGTCGCCCAGGCTGGAGTGCAGTGGCACGATCTTGGCTCACTACAACCACCACCTTCCAGGTTCAAGTGATTCTCTCGCCTCAACCTCCCAAGTAGCTGGGATTACAGGTGCTTGCTACCACGCCTGGCGGGATATGACAATTGTAAACATATATGCACTAAACACTGGAGCACTCAGATATATAAAACAAATATTATCAAAGCCATATAGAGATATAGGCCTCAATACAATGATAGCTTGAGTCTTCAACATCCCACTTTAAACACTGGACAGATCTTCCAGGCCGAAAACCAACAAAGAACCATCCAATTTAATCTACACTATAGGGCAATAGATACAGAACATTCCATTCAGTGGCTGCAGAATACACATTCTTCTCTTCAGCACATGGATTATTCTCAAAAACAGACCATATGTTCAGCCCTACAGAAGTCTTAAAACACTCAAAAAACTGAAATGACATCAAGCACCTTTTCTGACCACAATGGAATGAAATTAGAAATCAATAACAAGAGAAATTTTGGAAAATGTACAAATACACGGAATTTAAACAATATGCTCCTGAATGACAAGTGGGTCAATAAAGAAATTAAGAAGGAAATTGAAAATTTTCTTAAAACAAATGATAATGGAAGCACAACATACCAAAACCTATGAGATACAGTGAAAGCAACACTAAGAGGGACATTTATAGCTATAAATGCCTACATCAAAAAAGAAGAAAAACTTCAAGTAAACAACCTAACAATACATCTTAGCTAGAAAATCAAGAGCAAAACAACCCAAAATTAGTAGAAGAAATACGATACAAACGATCAATGAACCAAAAAGTTGGTTTTTTGAAAACATAAATAAAATCGACAAAACTCTTGCCAGACTAAGAAAACAAGAGAGAACACCCCAATAAATTAAATCAGAGATGGAAAAGAAGACATTAGAACTGATACTGCAAAATTCAAGGGATCATTAGTTGCTACTATGGCAATTACATATCAATAAATTAGAAAATTTAGAAGAAATGGCTAAATTCCTAGACACATACAACCTACCCAGATTGAACCATGAAAAAATCCAAAACCTGAACAGACCAATAACAAGCTAACAAGATCAAAGCCATAATAAAATGTCTCCCAGTAAAGAAAAGCCTGAGATCCAATGACTTCACTGATGGTTTCTACCAACATTTAAAGAACTAAGACCAATCTTACTCGAACTGTTCTGAAAGATAGTGGAGGATAGAATACTTCCAAACTCATTCTATCAGGCCAGTATTAATCTGATACCAAAACCAGACAAAAACACATCAAAAAGAGAAAAAGAAAACTACAGGGCCTGATGAACACTGATGCAAAAATTCTCAACAAAATATCAGCATAGTGATTTCAACAACACAGTAAAAGATCATTCATCATGACCAAGTGGGATTTATCCCAGGGATGCAAGGATGGCTTAACACATGCAAATCAATCAATGTAATACATCATATCAACAGAATGAAGAACAAAACCATATGATCATTTTAATTAATGCCAAACAAGCACGTGATAAAATTTAACATCCCTTCATGACAAAAATCCTAAAAAAAAGGAGTATAGAAGAAACATACCTCAACACAATGAAAGCCATGTATGACAGACCCACAGCTAGTATCATACTGAATGGGGAAAAACTGAAGGCTTTTCCTGTAATATCTGGAAAAAGACAAGGATGCTCACTTTCGCCACTGTTATTCAACATAGTCCTAGTAGTCCTAGTTAGAGGAATCAGGTGAAAAAAAAAAAAAAGAAAAGAAAAGAAATAAAGGGCATCCAAATTGGAAACGAAGAAGTCAAATTATCTCTGTTCCCAGATGATATGATCTTACATTTGGAAAAACCTAAAGACTCCACCAAAAAACTATTAGAACTGATAAACAAATTCAGTAAAGTTGCAGGATACAAAATTAACATACAAATATCAGTAGCATTTCTATAAGCCAACAGCGAACAATCAAAAAAATCAAGAAAGTAGTCCCATTTACAATAGCTACAAATAAAATGAAATACCAAGTAATCAACTTAACCAAAGAAGTGAGAGATCTCTATAATGAAAACTATAAAACATTGATGAAAGAAATTGAAGAGGACTATAAAAAATGGAAAGATATTCCATGTTCATGGGTTGGAAGAATCAATACTGTTGCAATGTCCATACTACCCAAAGCGATCTACAGATTCAATGCAATCCCTATCAAAATATCAATGACATTTTTCACAGAAATAAAAAAATCCTAAAATTTATAAAGAACAACAAAAGACCCAGAATAGCCCAAGCTATCCTGACTAAAAAGAACAAAACTGGAGGAATCACATTATCTGACTTCAAATTATACTACAGAGATAATAGTAACCAAAACAGCATAGTACTGGTATAAAAACAGACACATAGACCAATGGAACAGAGTAGAGATCCCAGAGATAAATCCATAGATCTACAGTGAACTCATTTTTGACAATGGTGCCAAGATCATACATTGGGGAAAGGACAATCTCTTCAATAAATGATGCTGGGAAAACTGGATATCCATATGCAGAAGAGTAAAACTAGACCCCTCTCTCTTAATATATACAAAAATCAAATCAAAATGGATTAAAGCCTTAAGTTTAAGACCTCAACTAAGAAACTGCTACAAGAAAACGTTGGGGAAACTTTTCAGGACACTGCTCTGGGCAAATATTTCTTGATTAATACCCCACGAGCACAGGCAAAGTAAAAATGGACAAATGGGATCACATGAAGTTAAAAAGCTTCTACACGGCAAATAAAACAATCAACAAAGTAGACACAACCCACAGAATTGGAGAAAATATCTGAAGATTACCCATCTGACAAAGGTTTAAGAACCAGAACATATAAGGGGCTCACACAACTCTATAGGAAAAAAAAATCTAATAATCCAGTTTAAAAATGGGAAAAGATCTGAATAGACATTTACCAAAGAAGACAAACAAAGGGCAAGCAGGCATATGACAAGGTGATCAACATCAATGATCACCAGAGAAATGCGAATCAGAACTACAATGAGATACCATCTCACTCCAGTTAAAATGGCTGTTATCTAAAAGACAGGCAATAACAAATGTTGGCAGGGATGTGGAGAAAAGGGAACCCTTGTACATTGTTGGTGGGAATGTTAATTAAAACAACTACTATGGAGAACAGTTTGGAGGTTCCTCAAAAAACTAAAAATAGAGCTACCATATGATCTAGAAATCTCACTCCTAGGTATATACCAAAAAGAAAGGAAAATCAGATACTAAAGAGCTATCTATAATCCCATGTATACCACAGCCGTATTCACAATAGCCAAGATATGGAAACAACCTAAGTGTCCGTCAGCAGACTAATGGATAAAGAAAAGGTGGTACATATACACAATGGAGTACTATTCAGCCATAAAAAAGAATGAGATCCTATCATCTGCAACAACATGGATGGAACTGAAGGTCATTATGTTAAGTTAAATAAGCCAGGCACAGAAAGACAAACATCACATGTTCTCACTTATTTGTGGGAGCTAAAAATTAAAATAATTGAACTCATGGAGATAGAGAGTAGAAGGATGGTTATCAAAGGCTGGGTAGGGTAGTTGGGCAGGGATGTGGGGATGGTTAATGAGTACAAAAAATAGTTAGAAAGAATCAGTAAGACCTAGTATTTGCTAGCACAACAGGGAGACTATATCCAAAAACAATTCAATTGCATTTTTAAAATAATTAAAATAATATAATTTGGATTGTTTATTATACAAAGGATAAATGCTTGAGGGGATGGATACCCCATTCTCCATTTTGTGATTCTTACACATTGCATAACTGTTTCAAAGTATCTCATGTACCCCATAAAATATATATTTACTATATACCCACAAAAATTAAAAATAAAAAAATTCAAAAAGAATTGTTATCTGCCTAGTGATTCATAATAAAAAACTCATAATTAATAACACATAATAAAAATGAGTAAAAGAAGAGTTTTATAATAAACCTTAAGAGCTGAACTGGTCTTTTATTCACAGAAAGAATATCTGAACATACAGTTAATGCATTTAGATCAACAACCTTCGATCAAGACCAAATTAAATCTGTAGGATAATGATTCATAGAATGTATCTTCACCCAGAGGTCTGATATTTCCTGGCCCCAAGAAACACCAGTTATGAAGATAAAGATAAAAAATGTCTTAAGGAAGCCCAACCAAGTTTCTTAGACTTTGTATCAAAGAGCTCAGAGATGGGAGCTTCTTGAGGGCACTTCCATCCTAAGCACCATCGATAAGCTGAAAGTGTTTCATTCATAACTCTGTGTGTGTGTGTGTGTGTGTGTGTGTGTGTGTGTAAATAAGCTTTTGTGCACTTGTGTGCTGGTAAATGTTTCAAAACATGTTCTTGGAGGAAATAGCCATGATGGTTTTGCCAGTTTCTGTGGTGTAAATACTCCCATCATGGCTGATTTCCAGCTATCAACCCTATGTGACTGAGCACAAGTTGGGATGAGATCATAAGTGGTTCTCACTGGCCAGTAAGAACTGACTTCAACACACTACTTCCTTCACGAGTTGTAATTCATAGTTCTATGGAAAATCGGGGAATGCCATATTTTAAAATCCATGTATCCTGGACATATCTTGGGTTGTTCTTTATAACATTTTTCAGTTATAGAGATATTTTCCTTTTTACTTAGCATATTAGATATATTAATAGTTCAAGAGTTGAAGAGTTGGCAGATACGAATAACAATATAGGAGGTGAAGAACTCAGAGATGATCATAAGTGTTGGAAGACAGTGGTACATGGACAGAGACAGGAAGTGGGGAGAACTGGTTGGGAGAGAGTGAAGAGGCTGTCCCTTTGCTTTCCCACGATGAGGATATAAACTAGATGGAGAGCTGGAGACGTGGTTAGAAGGTTAGAGACTTTCTGGAGATTGAAAATCATCCATGGGAGTTAAAGAATTCAGGACACAGAATCAACCACAGTGGAAAAGTGTAGCAATGGAAAAGGATCAAATATTGGGCTTTTTGAGATTTGGAAGAAGAGAAGCCAACAGAAAAGACATAGTCAGATAAGTAGAAAAAATAAAAACACCAAGAAACATGATGAAGGAAAAAGGTGAAGATAAACAAAATAATCAAATGTTCCATCAAAGTACAGAAAATAAAGGAGGCTATTTCAGCCAAGAGGTGGGACACAAAACAGGCTACAAGGGGTATGTGGATCACAGAAATTCACCATTTGGGAAGATTGCCTGATATGAGTCAATGCTCCTTTCTTATAACTTCAAAAGCAGTGTAAGAACTGAAGGCTCCTTTCTGCCTAAGGCTTGGTCCAGATCTAAGGAACCAAGGCAAACTCATAAGCCAATGAATGGACAGAGCTTAAACATATCATGAATAGAGCTAGTGTCGGGGAAGAGGAAGATTCTGGCTGCAAGCCAGAGGCCTGGCTCCGTGAAGAATGGAAATTCTGGCGTGGCTGCTCAGCCTTTCTGTGTCCAGGGTTAGTGGCCAGTTTCAACGTGGAAGGACCTTATCCAGAACCACAAAATGGATGGCTGCCCCCAAGTGAGCCATCCCATGGCAGAAGGACTAGTTTGGCAGGAAGCTTTAAGAAGGGTGGCAATTTGGTATCAGAGTCTCTGCCAAAAAAAAGCAACTCTGATGAGAAGAAATTTTAACTAACAGGAGAAAGCTCCATCCAGTAGAAAACTAAAATTTCTGTGCAACAGGTTGTGTGCCTGACTGCGCTCAAGCCTCACCAATGGCTTTTGGTGTCACAGGCTGAGGCTGCCTCTGTTTTCTTGTGCGTGTATATACGCTTGCCCTTCCTCCCAGATAGGGGCTTCCTAGATGTGAGGTCATGACTGGAAGCCAGAGTGTCTTGTTTGAGTTTGGGCTGACCTCTTGGAGCACAGAAGAGCTTGCTCTTTGCCCTGATGAATGGTTGCCTATGAAACTAAACAGCCTCCAGTCCAAACCAGCTCACATGGGTAGCCTCCTCTTAAGTTTCCTTTTCTTCTTTGTCTCAACAAAAACCCCTCCAATGAACGATCTGCCTCTCCTGTGTTAGCAGACCTGAGCTCTTCTAAAGATCACTATTTCAACACCACTTTGGATTTTCTCTGACTTTGCAAAGACTGTTGAGGAATAGTATTTACTTGCTTAGAGCTCTGAACAACTGGAGGACCTGTTGGCAATCCCATGGCCACTGGCCTCAAGGACAATATAAACCAGATGGGAAGACCATGTGGATGCTCAGGAAATAGCTACCATTGCAAAACAGTAAAAATTAGGGTCACTGTGATTTAAAAGTCGGAAATGCTGGGTGACTTTAGGAAGTGGAAAACTTCACAGAAGAGGAAAGCTCACAGTTGGACCAAGGATTTGAAAGCCACAAGAGCAAAGACACACAAGTGGGCCCACATAGATGTGCAATGGTGTTACTTTAGTGATACGCAACTGGCAACTGTAAATTCAGTTATTCACTGAGAGAGCGGACACGGAGGAAAGTGGTGATGTCACCACTAGCCTCCACTCTAAGACACCAGTGACAACCGTTTGTTCCACCAGGCAGGATATAACTGTGAAGGCCTGTTTGTTCTTAGAGGAAAGAAGCAAGGACAGAAGCAAAGTGGGGTATTTTAGAGCTTGGCAGTGGTTCTAGGTGCTCCCTCGCTGCATCCAGAAACAAGCTGTCTGGTTTCTCCTCCTCAATATCTGCCCCTTTGCTGTTCTTCCCTTTTCTTGCCTCCTCCCTTTAGGTTAGGGCAGCACTTGATCAAAGAAGTCACTACCCAGGGCCATTCCTACCTTGGACACATGTAAGGGCTAACTCACCCAAACAAGAATGAGAGGCAGGTAAGGAAACACTTCTCACACTGCAAGTGTATCATTACAACACCCAGGGATCTTGTTGAAATGCAGACTCTGATTCCTTAGGTCTGGGTGGGACTTGAGATTCCTCATTTCTTATAAGTTCCCTGCTGATGTCAATTTGACTAGTCCTTGGGCCACACTAAGTGTAGCAAGGAGAATCACGCATCACAATGCCAAGATTCTCCCCACAAAATTGTGGCCCTTCCTTCTGTCCCTAACTTTATGGAAACAGTAACTGGAACCTTCATCTCTCCTGACAATGGGGCAAGGTAAGACTTCACTCTTGGGGCTTAGCTGGGTGATGGAATAAATACTGCCTACACACTAGCCCACCCAGGCTACCCACCTCTCTAACACCTTTGCCCAGCCCCCACTGCCTGACCTAGTCTCAAAGGAATTCCCAAAAGAATGATTCTCCCTTGGGCCGTCTATTGTTCCTTGTGCAAGTAGGAGGAAAATTAAGCAAACCCACTTTTGCACACAAAGCTCTCCAGACAGACCTTCTACCTGTCCTTCCCACCCTCCTTTGGGGTGGTGGTCTCACCTGGATCAGTCCTTTCTCTTTGTTTAGGACCTGACTGCAGGAGGGACTCCTGTCCCTCAAGTCATTGACCTATAGTATGGCAACTTTCCGGGGAGAGCTGTGGCCACTGGCACTGTCTCCAGCTGCTTGTGAGTTGGATAGAGGAAGTGGGTATTGGTGGCTGGATCCTAGGGCAACTCCTGCTCTGTAGACCCTGGAGAGATGGGTTCATCTCTTTCCTTGGGCCTCTTCTGAGGTTTCAGGGAAAGTTTATGTAGACCTTCAGTGGCCTTGATTGAGGATAATGACCTGTAGGTTTTCAGTTAAGACAGTTTTAAAATACTAGCACTTAACAAAACTACACGGTTAAAACAGGAAAAATCCCAATCTGGATATATGTACAGAAATACTGTTAATCCAACCTACAGCCAGAAATGTGGACCTTCTATCAAGGGCAATGGGAAGAGCCTACTCTACTAGACATTGCCATGTCAAATATCTTATGTTATCCTCACAAGAACCATTGCATTTAGCGAAAGTAAACGGAAGCTCAGAGAGGTTAGGTGTATTTAACAAGGCCACCCAGATTTAGGCTTTAGAGCTGGGGTACCAGCATGGGTCTGTTGGACTCAAAAGCCTTTTCTCTTGCATAAAAGACAGGAGTGTATACATGTGTAATAATTTTGGGTCACACAGGCCTGGGTTTGAATCTATCTCTGTCCTTGGGCAAGTTACTTAATCTGAATGAACCTCTGTTTTTCTCATCTATAAAAAGGGAGACAACGTCTGCTTCTGGGGCTATCGTAGGATGATATGAGAGGAGCAGGTCATGACTATGCCTGGCACTGAACCTAGGACTCAGAGCAGGTTGTGAATGTCACTCACTGTCCTTCCTTATTTCTTGAGGTTAGTTCTGATGTTGGGGTTGGGTCTCCACTCCAAGAAGATACCTACCAGTTAGCAGTGACTGAAGGTTACAAGACACTGATAACATAACTAATTATGTGTTTTGGAATCTGTGCTAAAATCTCAGCCTGCAGATGTTAAGGATGCAGCAAGACTGGAGCAAAGGGCTGGAAGAAGAATAAGGACTGGAGTAAGAGAGCCATGAGTGCAAGAAAGGCCCTACCAGCTATTCTGGGGAACATATACAATAGTCCCTTCTTATCCACGGTTTCGCTTTCCACAGTTAACTGTGGTCCAAAAATATTAAATAGAACATTCCAGAAATAAACAATTTGTAAGTTTTAGTTTGCATGACGTTCTGAGTAGTGTGATGAAATCTCTCACCATCTCGCTCCATCTGCCCAGGACATGAATCATTCCATCCATGCTACCTGCCTATTAGTCACTTAAGTAGTCTTCTCAGTTATCAGATAAAAAAAAACATAGGATATATAAAATTCAGTATGATCCACAGTTTCAGGCATCCACTGGGGTCTTGGACTGTATTCCCTGTGAATAAACTGGGACTACTGTACTTGATTTTGCAAGCAATCAGACTTATGGAAGATTCTGAACAAGCTGGAGACTTGATGGACACAGTGATGGGAACACTATGGGATGTTAGCTAGTCTGGAGATGGGAGAGTAATACAGAAAGATCAAGTGGGCAGTGTAATATAACAGAAAGAACTCTTGGAATAAAGTCAAAACAAGTGGATTCTGCTACTTTTCCAGCTGTGGAGCTTAGGCAGCTTACTTCAGCTATTGGGATTTAATTTCCCCCACCTGAAAAATAAGGCTTCATTACTAGACTGGGTCAAGCCCTGCCAGCACTGAAACGATCTACTAGAATTCTACTCACTGCACTAATTCAAGCTTGCCATGATGAAGGGTAAAATTAACAGCATAAGTGACAGAACACAGAGGAAGTTAAGGCATGGAAGATGTTCAAAATGTTGGAATGACGGGGCTTAATGAATGATTCCACATGGGAGGACACAAGGAAGAGAGGAACCAAAGTGATTCTGAGTTTATCCTGGGATACTATGATCCTGGTAGTTCCAAAAGAAGGGGCTGGTTTGGGAGAATGATGATGATAACACTTTGAATAATATTGAGTAAAAACTGGAAATGAATCATTGTGTGCAGGCCTGGACTACGGAACTTGCACAAACCCGAGAGTGAGTGAGCACCTCCTTAAATGTGGCCCCCTAGGACCCATACTCATCTCACAGTAGTTCCAGCCTGATCTTGTGGAAATATTTAGAAGCTGAAACAAAGGAGGGGCAGAAAAGAAGGGACTATAAAGTTGAGCCTGGCCCTTACCTTCGACCAGTCTCCCACAGCTAAATGTGGAGGACAGTCTGTCCTGGCACAGGACTTGTGAGACGATGCCTTGGGTCCTTGGCACAATTCATCTGAGAGATTCAAAAAGCTGCCATCCGTTAGCAGCTGCCGACAGGTGACTCTTCTGTTCTGAGTTCCCCCGCCACAAGTCCTGGAACACTAAGAAGACAAGAGGGGGTGAGGCGGCAGGCTTGGCCCACTCTATGTTAGTGCAGTGCAGGGCCTCTCACAGTCATAATCACAGAGGGCCCTGGAGTGGCCAGTCTGCCCTACCTGCTGCCATTCTTCAATGTGCCAGCCAGGAGGGCAGTCAAACTGATTGCATGCTTGTAAAGCATGGGGCTTTTCATCTCGGCACTCCTCAGGAGGGGCAGGGGTCTCCCCTGGGTGCAGGCAGTACACATCTCGGGTCTGAATTCCAACTCCACAGGTAGCTGAGCAGGGCCCCCAAGAGCCCACATGCCACCTAAAACAGAAAACAAGTGGGGAAAGTTGAACAGTCCAATAAACCAACGTGCAACCATCAGAGCATGAACAACGTGAAGCTCTCCTCTGGGCTTCCAGACTTCACACCCTGTATACAGATTCTACAGTCACAGCATCTCCATCAATATACGCAATTAAAACACAGAAATATAGTATTTAAAGGCAAGAAATGTCAGGAAAGTGTTTAAAGATC
Source organism: Homo sapiens (assembly GCF_000001405.40). Lineage (NCBI taxonomy): Eukaryota > Metazoa > Chordata > Mammalia > Primates > Hominidae > Homo > Homo sapiens. Next base: position 548,176 of record NW_025791797.1, on the reverse strand, counting down.
TTTCCCATTTGGGAAAGTCCAGAGTAAAAAGCAGCAGATCTGTTCCCATCCTGTCCTACCACTATATATCAAAAATAAAATCCTGGTTCTGTTTTGAATGGAGCCCCAAGGCAATGATGATTTATATAGGTGTCAAAAGAAATTTTAAATGTTTAAAAGCACACTTCAGGAAATCTTCAGGGCACCTGGCTTCATTATTTGGAATATCCCTAAGAAAATTCTTTAATGTTAGGATTGGATTTACAACATATATATAATGTGATTCCTTTCCAATAAGATCTTGGAAAAATCAGGTTTTCTCATAAAACATCTGTAAAAATGAAAAACCAGGGCAGCTGCTTTCGACACATATTTCCAAGTTGCCTTCAAGGAAGATTCTCCCAATTTACACTCCCACCAGAAGCATTTGAGAGCACCTAGTTGCCCACACCCCTAACCACATTGGAGAATATCATTGAGAAAAGTCTCTGCCCATCTGATGGCTGAAAAATTACACATTATGGTTATTTTAATTTGTGGATATTTAATTAGCAAACATGAATTCTTCACTAGTTACTGTAGAGATACATCATGAGGAAACCATTTTTAAATGTTTAAAATGTTCATAAAAGGATGCTGGCTCCAGGGTAGTGTGTAATAACAGCACACACACAAAAATTAAATTGAATTACATTTTACAAAATGGAAGGAAATCATATAAATGTTTAACAATATAGCAGAAAATAACTGTCCATTCATACAGCACAATGCTAGCAGCCATTAAAATAATAAAGTAGATGTATAGTTATTAACATAGAAATACAGTCATGATATATTTTTAATAGAAAAGAAAAGGTCATAAAATAATTTGTAGAGTATAATCCTATTTTATGCATTTATAAATGCATGCAGAAAAAAATCTGAATAATTATTCATTAAAATGTTGCCAGTGATGATATCTAACTATAGGATTTTTATTTTCTTTATTCTTGCTGATTTTTTCTCTGATTTTTATTAAAATAAGCACTCATATTGGAAAAAATATTATTTCTCTGAAAAAATTAATTAGTATTTAATCTAAAAATGATTCTCAGTTTTTCTCTTTTCTAATTTTCTATTATAAACACCTCCTACTTGTATAAATAAAAATAAAATGAAAAGTAGTATTTAATGCAGATATAATAGGACAAAAGAATAAAAGTTTTATTTATGAAGGAAAAATTTCACAATGAAGATATAATCATACAAGTATGGAGATTAAATATAAAACATAAACTTGTAAAAAGCATGAGCTATGAAGTATAGGAAAAATGGACAAAAAAAATTAAAAAATTTAAAATATTTAAAATACTTTGCTAAACCCTTGGCATATTAACAAGGCAGACATTAATAAGAATATAGGAGATTTAATAATATATTTGAAAATATGGGTAAAATAGATAACTTTCTAAGGAATTACAAAAGTTCCATTCAAGAAAGGGACTGGACCTCACTAGTTTTGTGGTCAAGTCCTACAAATTTTCAAGAAACAGGTGAATTCCCATATTATCTTAAATGTTCCAAAATAAGAAGATGAAAATATTTTATTTTATGCATATTATAAAGCTAGAAAAAATCTGAACACAAAAGCTGACAAATATATATAAAGCAAACTTTTGCATGTGGTTATATATCCTGAATCCTAAATGAAAGTATAAATTCTAAATAAAAAAGAAGCAAATTAATCAACAGATTAAAACAATACAGGGTCTGTGATGTGGTCTGAAGGTTTGTGTCACCAACAAATTCAAATGTTGAAGCCCTAAACCCCAGCATGATGGTATTTAGAGATGGGACCTTTGAGAGGTAATTAGGGTTAGATGGGGACATGAGAGTGGAGCCCTCATGATGGGATTAGTGCCTTTGTAAAAAGAGACACCAGGGAGCTTGCTCTCTCTCCACCATGTGAGGACACAGCAAGACATCTGCTGTCTGCAAGTCAGGAAGAGAGCCCTCACCAAAAACTGAACCCTTTAGTCTTGGACTTTCCAGCCTCCAGACTGTGAGAAAATACAGTTCTGTCTTCGAAGCCACCCTTACGGTATTTTGTTATGGCAGTGTGAGGTGACTAATTCAGTATATTTTCTGACCACAGTGGAACTAAATTAGATAAAGCCCAAATACTTAGAAAGTACGCTGTAATCTTCTAAATTGCGCATGGGCCAAAGAAGAAATCACAAGGGAAAGTAAATAGTATTTTTAAATGCACACTAATAGAAATATCAAATGTCAAAGTTTGTGGAATTTAGCTAAAGCCATGATTAGAAGAAAATCAATAGCCTTAAATGATATATTAAAAAAGTTTGACAATAATAATCTAAGTAACCATTTCAAGAGGTTAAAAAAAGAATAGCAATTACATCCCAAAAAAAGTAGAAGAAAGGAAGCAATAAACATGAGAATAAAATGAATGAATTAGAAAATGAAACAAAAAGTTGGTCCTGGCGGGGTGCGGTGGCTCATGCCTGTAATCCCATCACTTTGGGAGGCTGAGGTGGGCAGGTCACCTGAGGTCAGGAGTTCAAGACCAGCCTGGCCAACATGGTGAAACCCCATCGCCACTGAAAACACAAAAATTTGCTGGGTGTGGTGGTGCACGCCTGTAATCCCAGCTACTTGGTAGGCTGAGGCATGAGAACTGGTTGAACCCAGGAGGCGGAGCTTTCAGTGAGCTGAGATCAGGCCACTGCACTCCAGCCTGGGTGACAGAGCAAGACTCTGTCTAAAAAAAAAAAAAAAGTTGGTCCTTCAAAAGACCAACAAGATTAATAAATTATTGATAAAATATGGAGAAAAAAGAGAGAAGGCACACATTATAAAATCAGGAATTCAAGAAGGGACATTGTGGCATAAAAAAAGTACAATAAGTAATGAAAAACATTATGTCAATAAATTTGAAAGTTTACATGAACTGAAAAAATTCCTACAAAAACCAACTTATCAAAACTAACACACAAGTGAAGAGAAATCGGAATAGTCTTATATCTATTAAGTTAAATTTGTTATTTAAAGTATCTAAAATAAACTCCATGTCAGATGGCTTCCTTGGTGAAATTCTACTAAACATTTAAGGCATAAACAATTCCAACCTTATATAAACTCTCAAAAAAAAAAGAAGAAGAACTTCCCAACTCATTTAAGCCTATGTCACTCATAAACAGATTTAAAAATCCTAAATAAAATATTAGCAATCAAGTGATAAAGTGAAAAATAATGTTACATGGTGACCAATCTGGGTTTATTCTAGGAAGGCAAAATTGGTTCAACCTTGGAAAATCAATCAGTGTCTACGACATAGCAAACTATAGGAAAAAATTCATATGATCATTTCAATAGAGACAGAAAAACATTTGTAAATGTTAACAGATATTCATGATAAAAAACATTTTTAATTTGAATTAGCGCATCCAAAAAAGCAAGGGCTTGGGGGCGGGAAGGTGAGAGAGGGCTGGAGAATAGAGCAAAATATCTAATTGAGCACCCCTTTGTTACAAAAAATAGCAATACCAGTTAAAGAAAGACATAAGGGTAAGACATTCCCCCATACAAATGAAACATCTCAGTTGACCAGAAATCAATGTAAACACACAGTGCTAAAGCACTAAGAAAGTTATGAAACAGAATATGTAAAAAACAAAATATATATTTGAATGTACTGAGAGAATAAACTCTGATAGAGATTTTGAGAATAAGTTAATGATGGGATCATTGAAATTAGGCAAACAAAAAAAAAGTAAGGAGATTGCCAACTCCAGAGAAAAAACTTGCACCCAAAAGAAAATGTAACCATAACAAAAAATTAAATGTCTTCGCTGTGAAATGCTTTTTTTAAAATGACAGCTTTATTGAGATGCAGTTTACATAACATAAAATCTGCCCTTTTAAAGGGTAGCAATGCTCCTCCTATAAAATAGCTCTAGCCTAGTTCTAGGCGTTTTTAGATACTAAACACCTGACCATGGTGGAACACCTGACCATGACCCATCAGATGACCATGTGACAAGCTGCTTATCATAAAGGGGACATTATCTATCTGCAAAGTCATATAGTTAGATGTGACCAGCAGTGGCCCACCACCGAGTGGAAGTGGTATATGGGACCAGGCATTGGTGGTGAGTGCATCACCTATTTAACAACTCTAGACTTAACCAAAATCATTTCCATCTTAACAAATAGTATAAGGGCCTAAAGCACTTTAATTAATCAATCTCTCTGAGTTTTACAAGGTTTTGTTGGACAATATTTCTTTTTTCAAATTGATAAATCAGAAACTATTATTGATTTCCATAGTCAATAAACTTTTTTAGATTAAATATCTTTACAATGTGACAGTAATGGCCACAAGTGTCCAGAAATACCTAACCAGACATGACTTTGGTATGACTTTGTGTTTTCTTTCAATTTAATCTCCCTTAGCTCCTGAAAAATTTATAAACTTAGTTATCCAGCCTATTATTTTTGTGGACCACTTAGCATCTTTCTAGTAAGTTTATTATTAGCTCAAGTTAAGCACAATTAGTTTATACTGCTTATACCTAGGAACCCTGATTAATATAAGGTGATACAAGTTTTAGATTATTTTTGAATTCTAGAAATTTTACATTCAATTAACATGCAAAAAGACAAAATCAATACATAAATTAGTATTTCTGTTCATTTAGCACTGATCCTTGACTTTTAACATACGTAATGATAATTTTTAAACATTTTATTTTAGGTACATGTGCAGATTTGTTATATAGGTAAATTGCATGTCATGGGCATTTGGTGTACAGATTATTTCATCACCCATATAAATAAGCATAGTACCTGGTAGGTACTTTTTCAATCCTCTCCCTTCTCCAACCTTCCACCCTCAAGTAGACCCTGATGTCTGTTGTTCCCTTCTTTGTGTTGATGTATTCTCAATATTTAGCTTCTACTTATAAATGAGGACACGTGGTATTTGGTTTTCTGTTCCTGCATTAGTTCACTTAAGGTAATGATCTCTAGTTCCATTCATGTTGCTGCAAAGGACACGATCTCATTCTTTTTCTATGGCTGCATAATATTCCATGGTGTATATGTACATTTTTTTAAATCCAGTCTACTGTTGATGCGTATTTACATTGATTTCATGTCTTTGCTATTGTGAATAGTGCTGCGGTGAACATACGTGTGCATGTGTCTTTATGGTAGAATGATTTATAATTCTTGGGATATATACCCAATAATGAAATTGCTGGGTCAAACGGTAATTTTTTTAAGTTCTTTGAGAAATTGCCACACTGCTTTCCACAATAGCTGAATTAATTTACATTCCCACCAGCAGCGTATAAATGTTCTCTTTTCTCTGCAACCTCACCAGCATCTGTAATTTTTTGACTTTTTAATAATAGCCATCTGACTGGTGAGAGATGGTATCTCGCTATGGTTTTGATTTGCATTTCTCTAGTGATTAGTGATGTTGAGCATGTTTTCATATGCTTGTTGGCCACATGGAGGTCTTCTTTTGGAAAGTGTCTGTTCACATCATTTGCCCACTTTTTAAAGGGATTTTTGGTTTTTTGCTGAATTTGTTTAAGTTTCTTACAGATTCTAGATATTGAGCTTTCACTGGATGCATAGTTTGCTAATATTTTCTCTGATTCTGTAGGTTGGCTATTTACTCTGTTGATAGTTTCTTTTGCTGTGCAGAAGCTCTTTAGTTTAATTACGTCTCATTTGTCAATTTTTGTTTTTGTCACAATTGCTTTTGGCATCTTTGTCATGAAATCTTTGCCAGGTCCTATGTATAGAATGTTATTTCCTAGGTTATCTTCCAGGGTTTTTATAGCATAACTATAAATGTTTATAACAAAAGTCTACAGTTGTTCAGTATGTCTATCCTTTTATTGATCAAGATGAAAGGATTTCTCAGCTATCTTGAACTACTTTCATCTGTTACTATTGTTAAGAATTCTGTTTTTCCTGACTTTTCCATTCTTCTCATTCTAATTATTTCCTGTGTTTTTGTGAGCATTTATTTTGCTTGTTATAGTTTTTATTCTGTTTTCCCCTCTGTTATATTTTATTTTTAGGTTTACCCTTAGAATTTTAAAGGCCCTATTTAACAACTCTAGACTTAACCAAAATCATTTCCATCTTAACAAATGGTATAAGGGCCTAAAGCACTTTAATTAATCAATCTCTCTGAGTTTTACAAGGTTTTGTTGGACAATATTTCTTTTTTCAAATTGATAAATCAGAAACTATTATTGATTTCCATAGTCAATAAACTTTTTTAGATTAAATATCTTTACAATATACTTCGGTCATCATTCATTCTTATATCTCAGACCTTCCTTCTGGGATCATTTTCCTTCTTAATGAATACATTCTTTAAAATTGTCTTTAGTGAAAATTTGCTGATAGTGCAATTTCCTGGTTTTGTTCACCTAGAATACTTAACATAATATTAGTAAATATTTATTGATTACCTATGATGTGCCAAGCTCTTTTTAAAGTATATGTATTAACTCATTTAATTGTCATATAACCTTACTATAAGACTACTTTGTTGACACCTGCTGCATAAGGAGATACTATTACAATCTGAAAATATCCCTATTTCATCTCTAAAATGTTGTTTTAATAAGTATACAATTCTAGGCTGACAGTGAATTTTTTTTCTGAGCCATTTGAAGATAATGCTTCATTATTTCTCATGAGGAAAAATGGCAGTTTTTGTTATTGTTCCTTTCCTGGATCTTTTCTATATCTCTGACTTTGAGATTTTCTTTGTCTTTAGAGTTCTAAAGTTTAACAACAATGTATCTGAGTGTGTATTTTTTTTCCCGTTTGGGATTTGCTGTGACTCCCAATTCTTAGGTTTCATATTTTTTCATTAATTCTGAAATATTCCCTCTTATTATCTCTTTGATAAGTCTCTTTCTTCTTTTTAGAATCATGAAGTCCTTTTTATCATTTTTCACAGTATAAGGCACTTATTTTTTCTTTTAATATCATTATTTTTTAAAGGCAAAGGAATCACAAGTGAATGCACTAGTCATGATCCATCAGAATGACAGACGCTTATCTACAAGAACATTTCCTAACTTTTTTCTGAATCTGTCACCACTGGGTATTACCGCTATTTTTTTACTTAAAAAGTGGGAGAATTTAATATGATTCTCTCTTCTTTTTCAAAATTGAATTTGTAGAAATGTAAGGGGTACAAGTGCAATTTCATTACATGGATATATTGCAAAGTGATAAAGTCTGGACTTTCCCTGCAACCAACACCAGAATAATGTACATTGTACCTATTAGGTAATTTCTCATTCTTTACCCTCTTCCCACCTGTCTGAGTCTCCAAATTCTATTCCACACTCTATGTTCATGGGTTCACATTATTTAGCTCCCACCTGTAAGTGAGAACATGTGAAATTTGACTTTCGACTTCTGAGTTATTTCACTTAAGATAATGGCCTCCAGTTGCATCCATGTTGCTGCAAAAGACAAGATTTCATTCTTTTTTATGGCTGAATAGTATTCCATTGTGTACATATACCATATTTTCTTTATCCAATCATTTGTTGATGTGATTCTCTTTTCTTAGCATATTTTTGGGGGTATTTTTGGATGAATTATTTTACTTATTAAGTTCTGGAGAAAGGAGTTTAATTTTCATTACTGCATTCAATTATCTCCACCTGGTCTCTCCCTTGACACATGGGGATTATGGGGATTACAATTTAAGATGATATTTCGGTGGGGACACAAAGCCTAACCATATCATTTCATCCCCTCTCGCAAATCTCATGTGCATTTCACATTTCAAAACCAATCATGCCTTCCCACAGTCCCCAAAGCTTTAATTCATTCCAGCATTGGCCTAAAAGTCCAAGTCCAAAGTCTCATCTGAGACAAGGCAAGTCCCCTCTGCCTATAAGCCTGTAAAATGAAAATCAAGTTAGTTACTTCCTAGATATAATGGGGGTACAGGCATTGTGTAAATACATCCATTCCAAATGGGAGAAATTGGCCCAAATGAAGGGGCTACAGGGCCCATGCAAGTCGAAAATTTAGCTGGGCAGTAAAATCTGAAAGCTCTGAAATGATATCCTTTTAACTTCGTGTGTCGCATACAGGTCACACTGATGCAAGAGATGGGCTCCCATGGTCTTGGAAAGCTCCGCCCTTGTGGCTTTGCAGGGTACAGCCCCCCCTCCCAGCTGCTTTCATGGGCTGACGTTGTCTGCAGCTTTTTCAGGAACACAGTGCAAGCTGTCAGTGGATCTACCATTCTGGTGTCTGGAGGATAGTGGCCCTCTTCTCACAGCTCCACTAGGCAGTGTCCCAGTGGGGACTCTGTGTAGGGATTCTGACCCCACATTTCCCTTCTGTATTGCCCCAGCAGAGGTTCTCCATGAAGGCTCCACCCTTACAGCAAACTTCTGCCTGGACATCCTCTGAAATCTAGGCAAAGGCTCCCAAACCTCGATTTTTGCTTCTGTGCACCTGCAGGCCCAACACCACGTGGAAGCCACCAAGGCTTGGGGCTTGCACCCTCTGAAGCAATGGACTGAGCTGTATGTTGGCTCATTTTAGCCATGCCTGGGATGCAGGGCACCAAGTCCTGAGACTGCACAAAGCAGCAAAGGCCCTGGGACTAGAGCATGAAACCATCCTTTCCTCCTAGGCCTCTGGGCCTGTGATGGGAGGGGCTGCCATGAAAACCACTGACGTGCCCTGGAGACATTTCCCCCATTGTCTTGGCAATTAACATTTGGCTCCTTGTTACTTATACAAATTTTTGCAGCAGGCTTGAATTTCTCCTCAGAAAATGGGTTTTTCTTTTCTATTGCATTGTCAGGCTGCAAATTTTCTAAACTTTTATGCTTTGCTTCCCTTTTAAACATAAGTTCCAATTCCAAATCATCTCTTTGTGAATGCATAAAACTAAATGCTTTTTAAGGCACCCAAGTTACCTCTTGAATGCTTTGCTTCTTAGAAATTTCTTCTGCAAGATATCCTATATCACCCCCTCTGGTTTAAAGTTCCACAGACCTGTAGAGCAGGGGAAAAATGCCACCTCTTGTTTTCTTTTTGAAACTCCATTTTTATATATGATAAACCTTCTCAATATTTCCTCTGTATCTACCTTTTGTGGATATTTTACATATTTTATGTATTCTCCATGCTTTATTCTGGGTAATTTTTTCAGCTCTCTCTTCCATTTTACCTGTTTACTCCAGCACATAACTTTTGAATTTCAATCACTGTATTTTTAACTTCTAGATATTCTATTAGTGGAACCATATAAACTGCCAATATTTGACCATTTTTGACCAAATAGAAAGTTTCAGATGGTTCAATGTGATAATTGGTTCTTCTAAACAATCTTCCAAGTATTTTTGATAGTTTATTGTTCATAGCGTAGATTTTTAATTTCCTGTTTTATATATGTAAACATTTTAAATAAATACGTTTATATTCTGTACCTGATAATTCCAATTTACGATGCTCTGTGTATCTGATTCTGTTTTTTCCCCCACTGACTCTCACACATTGTTTCTTCATGTGTTTTTAAAAAATTTTGATTATGAGCTAATGCTCATTATGTCTTTGTGGGAATTTTAAGGTCTGGGTAGAAGATACATTCCTCCTTGCAGGATTTACATCACCTCTATCAAGACCAGTATGAATTAATTTTTTGGATCACATAGAGTGAATATAAACCCTACTCCTACATAAAGGGCTACTTGTAGCTCTTAGATTCTCAGGGGAGCCTTTCTGATTCCTTCCATTCAGAGGCAGACCTGAGACAGATAGTTCTCCTTGCAATCTCTCTTTACAGGATGGATTTCATTTTTTGAATTTGCCTTTCCATTGAGGTAGACCCTGGCTTTGTATGGGGAATCTCCATTCTATTCCTTACTTTCTGAAGGTCTAAGGACTTGTCTATCAGGCAAAAGATCTTAAAGCCAAAAAGTGTAGGTTACTGAGACTGACAACTGTCCCCACTAAGGCAATGCTTCAGCTTGTTTTTGTCTTCTGAGGATTTCTCTTACTTTCTTACAAGCTTAGTTCTGCATTTCAAGATATGTTTTACATATTTTACCCAGTATTTTAGAGGTATTTAGCAAAAAGCCTTTAAGGATATCAAGTCCATCATGTGGTTAGAAACTGATGTATACAGTCACATACTTGAAATAATAGTTCAGCAAGTTTAGCTCTATGGTGATCATGATATTCCCTCAGTATTCTGAAGATATTATTCCTTTGTCTTCCAGAAACTCCAGTTGTTGATAAGTTGTTTGTAGTTAATCTGTTTTTCATGAGTGGTAGCTTTTAAGATTTTCTTATCGTCCCTGATTTTCTGTAGTTTCACTATTTCATATCTATGTAGGGATTTATTTTCATTTGTTTCTCTTGATACTAGGAGTGGATATTTTTTCCTAAGTTTTAGTAAACAGTTTACTTCATATCTTCATTCTCTGACGTTACTTCCATATTTCTTAATTTTCTTCCCTTTCCCCAAATCATCAACTATTTTTCTTTTATCTTAGAAACTGAACTGTCATTTGCTACAATTGCTTTGGGACCTCAAGCTCCAAATAACCACAAGTGCAGCTCCATTCACCACCTCATGTTTCCATTCCTTTCCTAGCCCAGGTAGTTGTTTTCTTACTTGTGTCTTTGATAGGCCCCCTTTTATACTGCATCTACCATTGATCTGTATTTGGAACAGAATATGATGTTACAACACCATCTTAATTGGAAGTCTATCAATTACTTAGACTATAATTGATAATATCTAAATTCCAGAAGTTTTGAATGTGAGTGAAGTCACCGAAAGTAGATACATGGGTCATATTTGGATGACAATTGGACTACATAGCTAAATAATCAGAAGGTTTCTGTTTCATGATTAAAACAATTCAGCTTAAATTTGTAAGTTTATTGATGTGACTTCAGGATGATCATCTTTTGAGCAAGTGTATAGCTAGATAAATCAATTATAGTCACAAGGAACTGGAGATGGAGCTGTTTTTATTTAAGAAATGGGCAACAATTTCTTATTCACAGACAATGAACTCAATAAAGAATTGTTTTTTATATCAAGAAATAGGTAACAAGCTGGTACAGAAACACATCACTATTGCCTCTTGCTTTCCTCCTTTCTTCCCTAGCAGTGTTGAATCCTGTTAGAGAAGAAGGCTCTCCTCAGACTAGCAGGACCATTATGTAACCCAGCATGCTTCTACAAGCTGCTGGCTCTCTCCTGGAAAAAGCAAACTCCATAAATAGCAGGCACTCAGCAGTTATAGGATAGATCAGGGGGAGTAACCCCATAAAAGCAAATAAACATCCAACACCCCACCTTGGAGAGCCCAGGCTAATACATCAAATACATTTGCCTTTGGGTAAATAAAGATCCACTGGCTGTTCAACCCAATCTCAGTGGTAAGTTTCACCCTGGGGTAATATTTTACTGCTATTGCCCTTGGAGTCAGTAAATATTTGTATGGAAAATATTATGCAACACACTGTTCCTGTTATTCCTACACCACTAGTTTCTAGAACCTAAAACATTTTTGTAAACTTACCTTTATTTTGGCATCAAATCTTTGTCTCTGCTGGTTTTTTTCCAATATAACTCTCAACCTTTGAAAAGTTTATTAAATTTGCAACTTTGAAATGAGGAATAGTATTTCCTTTCACATAAAAACAGACTCTTAATTTTGCAAAGTGGCCAAGACATGTTGTCTGCTCTATTATTCCTAGCTTGGAAGCTCTGTGGGCAAGAGATTGCTGAGGAAGAGAATGTGTAAGAACTCTTGCTGAGGCACAGTGATGAGAGAAAGGGGATACAGTACACAGGCTGATGCATGAATAAACCAGTAAGCTTTCTTCAGTAAATTTAAGAAACAATTTCTAGATTTGTTGCTAAATCTTGTTCTGGTTTGGTGGGCAATGGAAGAGCACTGACTAAACTCAACCCTGCCTTGACCTCCTGGGCAGGTCAAACCAAGGCTGTCATCCTTAGAACTAAAACCCCAAGCACGTCACACTACTCAGGTATGGACATAAGGATTGTTACAAAAGGACTAGACATAATTTGAAGACATGAGTGAAAAATGCAACCTGAAAGCACTACTCAAAAATGAAAGACTGGAGCTTAGGGGACCTCGGTGATCATAAAGTCCAACACCTTTCTTCATTATTCATATTAAGAAACAGGGTCCAGAGAGCTAAGGAACTCACCTGAAATTCCTTGAGAGACGTGGAACTGAGGCTTTATCCCATGTCCCTGATCCATTTCCAATTTTCTTTTGACTTTTGAGAGTTCCTTGCTATCAAGTGTCTCAGGTAAGGATCCTATCTCACATTCTGTTGAACTTCATTTTACCAGTGAGAAGTGAGCCAATGATTACTTTTATGGGAGAGAATTAACTAATGTCATAGTAGCGAAGGTCTCTAAGAGGCAGAGGGCATAGTGTGTGCAAAGGTCCAAATGGCATGAATGAGCAGGAGTGTGGGTCATGGTGCATAATTTACTGTGGCTGCTGAGCAAGTTCCTTAGGGTGAGTCTGAGTGTGTGTGTGTGTGTGTGTCTGTCTCTGTCTCTCTGTCTCTCTCTGTCTCTCTGTGTGTGTGTGTGTCTGTCTCTGTCTCTCTGTCTCTCTCTGTCTCTCTCTGTGTGTGTGTGTGTGTGTGGTAGAGGTGACAGGAGATGTGGTTTAAGAGTTGGATCCAGGGTCACAAAGGCATTTATATGCTGTTATAGGTTGAATTGCCTTCCCACAAAAGATGTGGAAGTTATAACCCCCAGTACTTGTGACTGTGACCTTATTCGGAAATAAGTTCTTTGCAGATGATCAAGAGGAGGTCATTAGAGTAGGCCCTACTCCAATATAAGTGATGTCCTTATGAAAAGGAGAAGTGTGGACACAAAGACACAGAGAAGGAAAACAATATGAAATCACAGGGACAATGCCATTCACAAGCCAAAGAATGCCAGAGGTTACCTGCCAGGAGAAAGCCATGGAACCAAGGCTCTCTCACAGCTCTAAGAAAGAATCAACGCCGCGGACACCTTAATTTTGGACTTCTGGTCTCCAGATCTGGGAGATGATAAATTTCTGTTCTTTAAGCCACTCTGTTTCTGGTGCTTTGTTATGGCAGCCCCGGCAAAAGAAACACATGCCAAAGTAGAGAATGTGGGTTTTAATCCATAGATAAAGGAGTGTTGTTGAAGGTTTCATGCAGAGGCACACACAGTCATTTTGCAACTTAGAAAGATAAAGATCTTTCATAGTCGTGTGTGCACATGGATCAGAGCAGGAAACAGGAGAGTCAAGAGTTCATTTAGAAACTTGTGAAACAGTTCAGGTAAAACATATCTGAATTAAGGCAGTGGCAGTTACACATGATTAGGACAAATTCATCAAGTACTGAAAAGTAAATGGTCAAGAATCTCAAGTTCATATTATCAGAGAACAAAAACCATAAAAGGCCACTTTATGTGATTCCACTCAAAAAAGAAACTCAGGTTTCATGATAAAGTGGGGGAAAATGTTTGATTTAGTCTTGAAAATTTAAATTAAAAATTATAAAATCAAGTTATCTTATCTTGAACATAATTGTGGTTGTAATGCCAACTTTATGCACTAATTCTTAGAATGGCAGAGAATGAATTGTAAATTGTTTCATATTTTGGCTTTCTTTTCTGAAAAAATTATATGATGACACATTATGGCTACCTTCACTTCCAGAGCAAGAGTGGAACAGTTATTTTCACAAAAATAAAACTGAGAGTTTCATCAGTGTTCTTAGGGCCTCTCTTTTCATCCTGTGATATGCAAATCATTCTCATTTGAAGTGCCTTTCATGTTGTTATCATTTTCGTTTTCTCTGTTTTAGTTGTTACTTGGCTAGAAACAGGACAGAACTCTGGTGAAGACTAGCTTCATGTCAATCTGCAGTAAGATTTAAATCTAGAAATAAAATATACCCCAACATATTGGGTTGTATTTTCTTCTTTTTACTCTTCTTTGTTAATGGCTAGCAATATATCATAGCTAGCTGGGTGTGGTCACTCATGCCTATAATCCTAGGGGCTTGGAAGGTTGAGATGAGAGGATGTCTTGAGCCCAGGAGGTCAAGGCTGTAGTGAGCCATGACTGCACCACTGCACTCCAGCTTAGATGACAGAGAAAAACCTAATCTCTAAAAACATTTAAAAATTTTTAAAAATTAGTGATGCACATGGCTCATTCCTGTAATCCCAGCAACTTGGGAGGCTGAGGCAGGAGGATCACTTGACCCCAGAAGTTCAAGGCTGCAGTGAACTGTGATCATACCGTTGCACTCCAGCCTGAGCAACAGAGAGAGACCCTATCTCAAAAAAAAGAAAAAAAAAAAATCACACAGCCAAATTGTAGTCACAATTTTAAGTCTGTGTAAATTCGAAACCATTTTTTTTTAGTCATCTTTCTAGAAAGAGAGTACTGGCTAGAGTAGACAAAGGGGATGGCTAGTGGAGGGACTGGAAATCAGGAGACCAGCTCTACTAGTAGCATAATATGTGGGCTCCCACAGCCTCCATTTGGCCATCCAGAAAAGGCAGAATTTGGACTAGATGACATCTCATGAGAAATACTCCATGTTTGGGCTTTATGTTGTAGTATGCAATTTATTTAGTGTATGCTCATGGAGAAGTCATCAATTACCTAAAAATCCTAAATTTCAGTTTTCATATACAGAAAACAAGAGCCTTTATTCATTATATATTTATTAGCACATTTCTGAAAGAATGTGAAGCCATTAATAAGAATAGTACTAGCTACTTTTCACCAAAAAGAGACTTAGGGCAGTGATTTTCAAATTGTTGCACAGCAAAACACCTGATACAGTGCAGGTGTAAGTTGTGAACAGGTTCATCCATTGTTTTAAATAAAACAGTACATAGAAAAGGATTCATGGGCCAGGTGCGGTGGCTCACGTCTGTAATCCCAGCACTTTGGGAGGCTGAGGTGGGCGGATCACTCGAGGTCAGTTTGAGATCGGCCTGGCCAACATGGCAAAATCCCATCTCTACGAAAAATACAAAAATTAGCTGGGTGTGGTGGCATATGCCTGTAGTCTCAGCTACTCAGGAAGCTCAGGCAGGAGAATCACTTGAACCCAGGAGGCAGAGGCTGCAGTGGGCCGAGACTGTGCCATTGCACTCCAGCCTGGGCAACAGAGTGAGACTCCGTCTCAAAAAAAAAAAAAGAAAGAAAGAAAGAAAAGGATTTATGGATTGTAGAACTCTTAAAACTGCTCTGCAAAATACTGGAGCATGGGGGCCATGGTTGGGAAAGCAGTATTTCTGAAGGAGACACTGAGCATTTTTGGAAAAGACAGTAGAGGTGAACTGATATTCATGGCTACAAATATAGAAAGGGATTCAACTATTTTGATAAAGAATGTTGTTGGTGGCCAGGTGCGGTGGCTTATGCCTGTAATCCCAACATTTTGGGAGGCCGAGGCAGGTGGATCACCTGAGGTCAGGAGTTTGAGACCAGCCTAGCCAACATGGTGAAACCCCATCTCTACTAAAAATACAAAAAATTATCTGGGCATGGTGGCAGGCACCTGTGACCCCAGCTACTCAGGAGGCTGAGGCAGGAGAATCGCTTGAACCCAGGAGGTGGAAGTTGCAGCGAGCCATAAGATTGTGCCATTGCACTCCAGCCTGGGCAACAAGAGCGAAACTCCGTCTCAAAAAAAAAAAAAAAAAGTTGTTAGTGTCATATAAACAATAAAAAGGAAACGATGATATTTGCAGATTCACATGGAGGCAGGCTTTAAATCGAGGATGCTCAAATGAAATTGTGGTGGGCTGGATCCCTAGTTTTAAATAATTTTCTTAAAAGATTTATACTTGATCTAATTGTCTCCATTTTGTTCTCCCCATTTCTGTGTTTGAGTAATCTTTTTAAAATGTAAATCTGATGTACCACTTCATTGCTCAAACCCTCCAATGACTTCCCACTGACTCTCTGGATGAAGTCCAAGTGCTTACCGTGGCCCTTGCCCATTCCTATCTCATCTGATGACACACTGATTTCCTTTCTCTCCAGTTCCTTGAGCATACTGAGCTCTTTCTTTCCTTGGGGCCTTTGCACATACTGTTCCCTCTGCCCAGAGCACTCATTCCTCTACACCTCTCCTGGCAGATTCCTGCCTGTGTTTATGTCTTAAATAACTTCCTCAGGAATGACCTGCACCAACCTCCCCGGCTTCCCTGCCCCACCAATTTATTTTAGGTCCTCATAGTATTCGTGCTCTTGAGACGCTGTTTATTTAACATCTACCTCGTGCCCCATCCCCAGATTAAATTTAAGAAAACAGTTTACAAAATGATATAGTACATGATTCCAATGTCATGGGGAAATATGTTGAGAAATATAACTATGTTTTGCCCCCTCCCTGTATTTTCCCCTGTGCCTTGCTCCTGTACAGGAAGGTGGTCATCTGTTTCCATCTTCACTGCCTCAGGGAAGGGATGTAGCAGGGGAGGAAAACAGAAACCCCAGCTTTTCCAAAAGTATCTAATTCAGTGGTTCCAATAATAGAACAGAAAAAACTGAGAAACATAGATAAATAATTCGGATTACTACGTGCCATTACACAAGTGCTATTTCTCTAAAGATAGAAGGGTCATTCCAAGTGAATATATATTCAACACTGCTCCAATATATTTGCTATTCTTGGAAAAGTCTGGACATACTTGACAAAGTAGATGTCTTGACTCCTAGTTACATCAAACCTTCCTAAAACCCCTCCTTTATTGTCTCTTCTGCAATCTGCATTCTAGCGTGGATTACTCTGGAATGCTGTAAACCTGGGGGTGGGAGTGGGAGGTGGCAGGGAAACAGATTTCCCAGTGCTGTTTCTGGGCCTTGCTTTGCTCACCAAGGTAAGTCTACAGGCCTCTACTGCATCACCTCAACCACGCACAGCCAGATGGCTCTAACATAAGCCAACAAGCTCCCAGTACTTCTGTAGGTCTCAATGGAAGCGAGAAATATGGTAATGGATACAAAACACTGTATCCTACATTACATGGCGGGTGTGATTTCACCAAGGATGAGGCACACACTGGCCTCCTCCTGAGACTGTGCGGGCTGGAGAACAAGACTCTCAAGGAAGGGGTGCCCATCTCCAGGATGTGGAGGGCCTGATTTCTAGGGGGACCTAACGTATCAATCCCCACCTTCACCACCCTTATGCAATCAAGGCAGGAGAAACATCATAGCCAACAGATTGCATGGAATTAAAATCAGAAGGGTCAAGAGAATTCCAGAAGCACAACTTATTTTCTGAATAAACATAAAAGACACTTATCCTTAGACTAATACGGCAGGAGGACACAATAACCTCCCTCAATCACTGAGAGTCCTAAACATAGCAGAACTTGCTTTAGCAAATGAAAGGATTTCATTAGCGGGGCAAACGACTAAGAGGTAGGAGAGGCAGGAGGTTACTGGGAATGGGCTTAACATTTTCGGCAACTAATTCTTCTCGCAGAAGAGGGGTCACAAGATAATAAGGGTAAAGGAGAGAGAAAGGAAAAGACTGGGGGCTATATTCAGAAAGGTCTTGTGTGAGAAACCAATGATGTTCAGTTATCACCCTCTGTAGCCAGCAGCACCAGGGACACAGGAACATGAGAACAAGCTACTTCTCTTCTGATAAAATTCCTCAGGATCTTACCAGGACTTAAGCAAGGAAGCAGATTAACTTTTAAGGTAAACCTATCAGCCAAAGAGATCAAGAAGATCACCCTCACCTACTCATTGGGGTTTATAATATTATACCCCACAATCTGAGATCCAAGGCAAGTCAATGGGAAGGTAATAACACATCAGTATGAGTGCTAGATATCAAACAGGAGATTACACAGTCACTCAACAAATATGGATTAAGCACCTACTGTGTACCAATGTTAACTCTAATGCAAATCCTGTGCTTTCTGATGGGATATTAAGGGAAGAAGTGCCCTGGAGGAAACAGGGAGGAGAAAGAGAACAAATCCACTGATCTCATGGTTTTATGGGTAGCAGGCCAGTTTATGTTCATTCGTGTTCGATGCAAACAAAAGTCAGCCTGAAGAGCATTCCTGTGCAACATGGCTGCATCTGAGCACCTAGGCAAGAATCTGGCTGGAGCATAACTTGAGCAAAGAGAGCTCTGAAGCAGGCTTAGCACATCTACCTTGGGTGAAGCCACAAGTCTGCACTTAGGTGGGTTTCTCTGCAGGGAGGGTGTTACCACCCGGACACGGTATATACCAGGAACACAAGACAGCACATACCTGGGGGGACAGGGCTCTGTGTTACAGGCCTGGCTCATGGCTGGAGGACGGTGGACCATATCACACAAGCTGTCATTGACTGTCTGCTGGGTCTGGATATGTAAGCACACTGCTATGGCTTCTTGATGGCCTGCAGGTTAGAAAGAGGAAAAAATGCAAATGACATGGAATAATTTATTGTGGAAAAAAGAAAATAGAGTCTTAGGTCTTCTCATTCTTAGCATACTGCCCTTTTGACTATCATAGGGCTGCAGGCTGCATTTCAGGGTACACCTGGGAACAAACAACTTTGCATTATCCAAAGTCTCCTAGTTTATGATATTCCCTTATTCACCTTTTAAATTCAGTCCCTTTACTCCCTCTCTCCCAAATCTACTTACCTTGAAACATTCAAGAGCATCCCAACTCCCCATCCACCCTTGGACTTATCTGCATTCCAAATGTACTCAAAGCTAGGAGTTCCCCCAAATAAGCCATCAAGGTGTTCCTTCCAAACAGTCACAATAGTTTCCTTAAGAGGAATTTTTGAATCAGCTTCATAAGAATAACACTTTCTCTATATCACTGCATATGTGCTAAATCTGGCAGACACACAACTCCTCAAAATTTTAATTATGATTTGAGTTCCTGTTCACTATGACTGTAATTTGTAACGTTTCTATTGCTAGGAAAAACAATAACAATACCTCCTATTTGGAAAGTGTACAAAGTGCTTTCACAATAATCAGTGAGGTCAAAAGAATAGTATTATTACCTCCATTTTATTAATTTAATACTAAGGAAACTGAGGTCTAGAGAGAAACTAAGACAGCAAAAATGTGGTAGATTCAAGCCTAAAAATTAAATTCCCTGCCTCCTAATTCAGTGATCTTTCTTTTGTACATACTCTAGGGATTCTAAAATGCAATACAGCCAAAAAGTACAAGACTGCTCCTTGTGAAAATATGAAATTTCACAAGCATATTTTCCCTTTGGGGCCAGACAGGTCTGTCTGACCCCAAAGCCTATGTTCTCAACCAGTATTCTTTGTCCGCTGGGACAAAAAAAATTATTGGAAAATCAGACGGAACAAGATGTAAATCAAACTTTTGATTAAAAAGTCACAAACAAACTGTAATAGCAACTGACTATGTTATTTGAAATATGCAAATGCATTCATTTTCATGCAAGAATGTGTGTTCCATTATGTTACTAGGTTGTGGTTCTTTTTTCAAATGCCATGTTTCAATTCAACCATTTTACAGTATTTTACAGGATGTAGTATTGGCCAAAAATACTTCTAAAATATATATTTGTGATGTTCAGTTCTTTCTAATAAATTTTCTCCTGCTGTCTTCAGTTGTAATTTTATGTTCCCTGCCATGGCAGGATGCAGTATTAAATCTGCATGTATCTTCTATGAACTTTTAAAATAAACATTGGCTAACGTGAGATATAAGAAGGCATTGCTACAACTTAATAACTCTAGGTTTTATTTGCAAATATCAAAACGTAGTTACCTTGTAGAGGTTTAAGTGTTCATTTTCTAGTATGTTTCATTTTTTTTAAATCTGAGAAAAATCCAGTTAACTTTCAAATATATTTTAATTTATAACAGAAATTCTCTAGAAATTTTTATTACAGAGACTATTTTGGAACATTTTCTGAATAAGTGGGCCTTAAAGCCCCATTATAACCCATTCTGGGTGGAATTGTACAACACTCATGACACACTTTTCTGTCTTAAAGCAAGTTTACTGAAAATAATTTATAAGTTTAATAGGTGTTTAGGATACTTATTGAGGTAGAGTATATTTTGAAAAATGGCCACAAAATATCTCCCATCCCATACATTGGTCCTACAATGTTACTTAGACACTTCTCACCTTAAAAGATCTGATTAAGCATTTACTTTCAAAAATTAAAGTTAAAAAAGGAAAAATTATAAAAATAAGTTTACCTCATCTTATAACAAAATTTAGGTAATAATTACAACTATGAATTTAGGACATAATACATCAAGTGTTGAAACGTCAGCATCATTTTTTGAATAAATTCCTTTTGTAGCATGAGGCAACATCCCTTACTTCACATATGACTTTTGCAGTGTTATCATGAAAGTGCCTTTTTTTTTAGAAAAAGAAAAACCTATATAGCTTGTGGCAACATAGTGAGACCCCATCTCTAAAAAAAAAATACAAAAATTAGCTGGGTGTGGTGGGTGTGCCTATAGTCCCAGCTACTCGGGGGGCTGGGGTGAGAGGATCACTTCAGCCCAGGAGGCTGGGGCTGCAGCAAGCTATGATTGTACCAGTGCAGTCCAGCCTGGGCACAGAGAAAGACTCTGTCTCAAAATACATACATATTTTTTATCCTTCATCAAGAAATAAATTAATATTTAAAGGGTAAAAACACAGACTCCAAGAGAAGCAGCAGAGCCAATATATAAGCTGACATGTTCTTTTTGCTTGGTTGGGTTTCTGCCATTTGCAAACAACAGTCTTGACTACTTCAATATGTCAAATAACATAACACACACATACACACATAGTGTAAGAATACCAGGAGAGATTTTTTAAAATCCATAGTCAGAGCCTTTTATGTGCCAATCAGTATTTAATATGCCAAGTTGTAAAATAAATAAGGAAAAATAATTTGTGTAAGAAAATTATGTTGCTTTAAAAATCAAGTAGTCTTGGGCCCTAGAAATAGATACACTATGCTTTCTTGAAGCATCCGTGGAACATTAACAAAAACGGATCCTCTATTAGTCTAGGAAACTGCAGTAAGTTTCAAAAGTCATAAATTATGCAGGTAACATTCTCGGACTATAATATAGTCCAACATAAGTGAATAATAAACAATTGAACTCCCCAACTCCACACACTAGAATTTGTATAAAGTCCTAGGCCAAAGAGTAAATAGATTACACATTATTTGTGGCAGGAAAAGGGAGAACAGGGAGGCTTACAGCCACTTCAGACTCGATGAACAACTCTAGAAAATAAATTTCAGTATCCTCATGAAATGGATAGTTTTTGTCCCAAGTGAATCTAAATTATGTAATTTATTTAAAAATTATTATAAGAACTTGGATTGAATATAACAATAAGTGGGGGGAAACTTGAAAATAATGTTAAAGATGGAGCCATGATGCTCCCCCTCAATCCCAAAAACAGGACAAGATTTAGAGAGTTGTAGGAACTAGCACTTTCAAACATTTTAAACAGATGATTTCTATGATATAAACTATTTAAAATTATTTAAAGGTATAGAAAATGCCAGTTCATCTCACAAAACTACCAAAACCTGATGATACCTAAACCTATACGAGGAAAAAAGAGGTCTGCTTCATACAGTGTGGGCACGTATAATGCTATATTATATATAACGATGTTCTTTGTTTCCAAAATACACACATACACACAGGCCTAGGATCATATTTGGAAAGAACAGTTAATTTTTTTCTCTTTCTGCTGTTAGCTAGTTTGACTGAAGGGGTACTACTGTAAAGTCCCGAGTAATGAAAAAGAGTGAAGCATAATATTTTATGGATCCAAAGGTATCCTGTTTGGTGTTAAAATGCAAGTTTTGTAGCACTTCAAATAGGTGAGTTCTTTTTAGGAACCAATTGAGGAGACAGCTGCTAAAGATTAAGGATTGTTGAAAGCCATTTGGCCTTAGGAAGGGCATCATAAACCACTGGAGCCTGAGCGGAAGTGACCAATTATGTCAAGAGGAGCTGGAAGAAACTACAGCTCGAGGCCTGTCATGATTTGAAGGGATTTGGAGAAAACAAAACGGCAGTTGCTAATGTACCATGTCGGGAACACATCTCTATTGGGAGTATGCTCAAATGAGCCCATAGTGGGCCAATGCAATCTTTGTTCCCACGTTACCATTTGTAGAAAGGAATTCTTGTACTCCACTATGCAAAATAGAGTGCATTTACATGCATCAGTATCATTCATACATACATATATATATCTTAAATTAAATAATAGCATATTATAATCAGCAGTATATAATAAAATTACCTCATTACCTCAAACATCTGTCATTCACCTACCAATCACTTTCAGCAAATATTCATATGCACAAAAGCACAGAAACAACCAGATGGGAACTTCCTTTTATAAGCATACAAACCTACCTACTCTCATATCCTCACTAGCCTTTTCCCTGCTTATTACAATTAGAAGCTGCCCTTCCAATGATTTAAGACCAATCTCCACGACTGTGCTTGGAGTTTCACCCCCTTCAATCTTCTTAGAAAACTTATTGCTTTGCCTTTCACTTTCATTCTAGAGCTTTCTTGTTGCCTTTTAAATGTACCCAAGGGTCTCTGACATTAACACCACCCTTCACCCACACCCACACAGATCTGCCTCAACCCGCAAGGCCATCTTAGTCATCTCCTCCTCTGTTTTCTTTAACATGGCCAATTTATGCTGCAAAAAAAATCCCCTCTATTCATCTCCACTCTGTCACTTATCATTCTTTCCTCAACCCTTTCAAATCTGGTTTCCATCTCTGCTCCTCCACTGAAATGACCTTTCCTTAAGTCCCCAGTGGCTTCACATTCCTGAACCCAGTACCAGTGCTGAACCCTCACCTCTCCGCCTCTGCATGGCAAGCAACACAGCTGACCTTGGTTTCCACCACACCACAGACTTCTGTTTTTATCATATCTCGCTGATCTCTTCTCATAGACTTTTGCGGCTTAGTGTCCTCCACCCAGACACTGAATGTTGAATTTCCTCAAGACTTAAGTCCTAGACCCTCTGCACTCCTCATAGGTATTCTCCTGAAAATTCTTGTCCATGCCCCTGGCTTCAATCCTTGGATGCACAGATGATGCATAAATGTACCATTCCAGTTCAGACCGCTCCTCTTCACTTCAGACTCACACATCCAACTGACTACTTAGCATCTCCACTTGGAAGTCGAGAGGCATCTTAAAAGCATTATGTTCACAAATGAACTCATGGGTTCCCTCACCAACATTTAGCATTCACCAGCTCAGAAAATAGTCTTAGGACTCAGACTTGCCATCACACTCCTGCTTACCCACTCCACTGACAGATCCTTTTATCTCCTACATGTCTCTCAAAGTCATCCACCATACTCCATCTCTACCATGGTCACCATTCCGGTCTAAGCTCTTGTCTGGAATAGGCAATAGCTTCCTATGTGATCGCTCTCACAACATCCTTATCCTTTCCAATCCATTCTCTACAATACAGCTGGACTAACCTTTTTGAAATAAATAAAAATTTGGTCACATAACTCCCACTTTAATTACTTGAATGACTTCCCATTGATCTTGGGATAGACTCAAATCAACATAGCCTGTAAGGCCATAATTGTCTGGCCTCTGCCTTCCTGTCTAGCAGCATGCCACACTAAACCCTGTCTCATTCTCAGTACTCCAACTGTGCCTGGCTTCTTCCATTCCTGGAATGTACCATGCACCCTTCTGCTGGCCTTTGCATATGCTCTTTCTGCTGGAAATTATCCGTGTGCCACCCCCTCCAAACCCCCTTTTGTTTAGCTAATGCCTCACCTTTTAGATTTAAATTCAAGTGTAATTAGGTCAAATGCCCCTTTTCATAGCACCATATACTTCTTTTGCAATTGCTGTAACCAGTGGTAATTCTATATATGTGTGAGTATGATTATGTGATGAATGCATTTTTCCTATTAGAGTTCAGTTCCAAAGCTAGGAACTACTGAGTCACTATCACCTAGGCCAGTGCCTGGCACATAGAAACATACAATAAATATTTGTAGAACATTGTTTTAAAATGAAACAATAAAGAGATTTCTACTACTGCCAGGACCAAAACAAGGTTGGCATTATCCACATTATTTACAATTGTTCCTGGAATTCTAGACAAGCCAATAAAATGTGAAACTTAAATAACTATTGGAAAGGGAAAGATAAAATCACCATTAATAGCAGATGATCATTTACTTAGAAAACTCATAAAAATAAGCTGAAAAATGATTAGAAGTATTAAGGTGTTCAACAATTTAGTCAGATTTTTAAAAAGAGAAATAATCAATAGCATTCCAATATAAGAGGAATGCTCTATTATTATATTATAAAATAGTCATCCCACTAACATTTATTAATACAGTGTACCACACACTGTGATTAAACACTCTTTGAACATCACCTTATTTAATAATCACATTTAATTATTTCATTAAGCCTAATGAGGTAGGTATGACTCCTATCATTTTAGCAAAATAAACCACAACTCTACAAATTTAAACAAATGAAACAAAGAGAGTTGCAGAGCTGGGGTTCATAAAGGGGTCAGGTCTCAAATGTCCATATATATACTCCTAGCCTGTGTTGTTGGAAAACATAAAGGTAAAAAAATGAGGTCATAAAAACAACAAACAATATAAAATATAAAAGAAGAACTTCGGTAAGGAATGTTTATGATGTAATAAATTATAAAACCTTACCAGAGGGTACTAAAAAGGTAGGCATATCTTCCAGGATGTACATGAGTATGTGTGTGCACACACATGATGTATCTACACACACAGATACTGCTGCATGAGTACATGCATACATACATATACATACATACATACATACATACATACATACATACATACACACACTTTGGAAGCTGGAGATTGGTGTCTGGATTCTTCATGCTTTTAGGAATTAAAAAAGAATTCTCTGTTGCTACTCCAATGTGAAAAGAGACCTATGCAAGGATCTTAAGCATCAGTAATTACAACAAATGGATTTATTCTTATTTCCTGTATGATGTGAAGATAGGTTAGAAAATATAAGTATACAGAATATCAGAATGTGACCAAAATTTATCTTTTCAGAAACTTGTAATTTGTATATTACTTTTCCAGCAGAAATAAGAATGTTGAAGAAATAAATATATGCCTGTGTAAATTTCATTTTATTGTGGTTGTCAGTCATTGCAGACTTATCCTCTCTGCTATCCAGGGTGAAGGCTAAAAGCCCACATTCATAACTCACACATTAGTGGACTTATGGAAGCTGAACTTACTGAACCACGTTGAAATAGATCACAGAGGCAAGTACCACTGACTATAAGCAGTGTGGTTGGGACAGTCAAACCAAAACAACCAAAAGCTGTGCTCCATCAAGGCAAAGAATATGTTCTATTTATTTTATATCCCTGAAGATTTAGTGCAGAACTTGGTGAAGAACCATGGAGTCTAACACAGAGCAGGTACCCAATTTCCAGCCTTTATTTTATTTTTTTTCTAAAGACTGGGTCTTGCTATGTTGCCCAGATTGATCTCCAACTCCTGGCCTCAAGAGATCCTCCTGCCTCAGCCTCCCAAAGGTCTGGAATTACAGGCATGAGTCACCTCACCCACAATTTCCATCCCAGCCTTTATAAAGGATTTTGGTTTTTGCCTTAGCTCTTCAGTTTCATAGGCTTTGGTTATTTATTATAAGGAACTTTAATCTCAAGTTAATTAAAAATAACTTTTTTAACCCAAGAAATTAAAAATTTACTTTTTAACCCAAGAAATTAAAAATATTACTTTTTGTAAAGCTAAGAAGCTTATTACATGTACTTATAGTTCAGCTAAGTAATGAGAATCAAGTTATTCATTTTCTATTTTTGGCTTTATGATGGACTCTGAGTCTCAGCTTCCTCAACTATAAAATTTGGGTTAGTAGGTGTCCAAGGCTCATTTCAATAATATTATTACAGGATTAAATGATAAAATATACCCTTATAAGGCTAAATTGCTGCTTACCTGAGTAGTAAAAGGCTACCAACTTGAGCTTTTCTAAAATTTGTAAAATGTGTTCCTGATACACAAGAGTATATCATAAAGCAAATGGGCACCTTAACATCACCCACCTGAATACTGCATTGCATTTCTGACAGATGCAAGGCAGTTTCTCTTCTCATAGCAGGGCAAAAGGTGCGCAGTGCCACTAAGGATAATCAACCTCAATTAGTCAAGTGTCAAAAAACTTGTATGTTTTAAATGGATTCAAAGGTAATTCTATCTACTCCAAGGTATATAACCAAGATAAATAAAAACATATGTCCATATAAAATCATATACATGAACGTTCACAGCAGCACTATTCTCAATACCCTAAACATGCAAACAACTCAAATTTCTATCAGCCGATGAATGGGTAAAATGTTGTATATCCATATAATGGAATACCACTTGGCCATAAAAAGGAATGAAGTACTGAAACATGCTAAAACACAGATGAACCTTGAAAACACTACGCTAAGTGAAAGATCGCAGTCACAGAGGACCACATATTACATAATCCCATTACATGCAACGTCCATAATAGACAGTAGTGGTTTCCAGGGGTTAGAATTTGAGGGAAAATGGGGTATGATTGCTTAAGGACACAGTGTTTCTTTGGGCAAGTGTTCTGAAATTGATTATGTTAACGGCTGCACAACTTTGTAACTAGAAACCACTACATTGTATACTTTAAATGCATAAATTGTACAGTGTGCGCATTCTATCTCGATAAAGCTGTTACTGAAAAAAAACAAAAGAGGAATTTATCACATGAGTTCAGCCATCCTAGAGGTGGAATCTAGGGCCATCTCAGTGGGTACTGAGAACACAAGGTAGATTCTAGTATTTTAGTAAAAGGCTCCAAAAATGAGCTCTGACAGCAGTCTCTCTCAGCTGAATTAGAATTCACCTGGTCATCTCTCTTTGAGCAACTCTGATTGGTCTGCTGAGTTCCAAGTACCCAGCATGCTATGCTTTCCCAACTTGAGGGGATCTTGCCAGTCAGGAGAAGAAGATGAAACAGGGATTCTACCAACAGCACCTAAAAGCTTGAGATTACAAGGTAGATGTTGGGGTGTGCAAGCAACAGCTGGGCTTGCTTCTGCTCTCCTAATGAAAGACACAGCTCCAAGTCTCTAGTGAGACTGCAGCAATGTGGTGACTCAGAAGCAATGGAGACAGCTGGCATTTTGTAGACATACAGTAGGAAGTTCCAGGCATGTATTATTGTGACTGAATAGGGGACCATCTTTGCATCTCCGTGGCTATCTCTAGAGGGTTTCCCCAAACTCATCAAGAGAAAGCACCAGTTCCCAAATTGCCAAGGGCATGTTAGAGTTAAGGTTTCCAAGACATAAAAAAACCCACAAAAAACAAAAAACAAACAAACAAACAAACAAACAAAACCAAACAAACAAAAAACAACAAACAAACAAAAACGTGTCCAGGGTTCTGAACTCAAGAGCAGGCAGGAGTTTGGCTTGGGCAAGAACAGACACAAGGCAGTGTGGGGGGCAACCCAGACAATGTGCTGTGGAGGGAAGAGATGCAGCAGATGTTTAAGGTTCAACTAAACCAGAGAGGCTAAATTCCTAGCTAGATGGCATGGACTTTTAGCAACCAGACAGAAGCAAGTAAGGGGAGAAAGAGTCCAGAGGCAGCTAAGGCACCTAAAGTCCACATGTGCAACTCTGTCCGCAAGGCAGTAGTTTAGGGGCAGCCTGGGGGTAAGGCACATGCCACTTTAGCCGGGTTTACTGCCAGGCTAGCAATGTTATACAAAAAGTGGCAAGGATACGCAGGTATAGAAGTTGAATTAGACAGGAAAGAGAAAAACAGATACAATCAAGCCATAGAGACTGAATGATAAGGATTGAGAATTCAGGCTCAAGAGTGAGGGGTTCAGGCACAATGAATGGGCCATGAGCTCCACAACTTGATAGGGAGTTTCAAGTAATGGGCTCAAGACTGTTGGGAGGAGTAAAGCATGATCTTGAGCCAAGAGCTCTAAGACAGCATCTCCTTGTGTTTTTCCCACCATTGGCTGGATCAAGAGCAGAGCACATTCAGGCACCAAGCTCTTTACATAGCAGCTGGCTGGAAGGCACAGTCAGGGGTCAAAGGATGAGGGGACGGGGTGACAGGGGCTCTGGATTCCTGGTCAGACCCAGTCTCCTTCATGTAAGTAAAAGATATAGTTTTCTTATTTGTTATTTCTATCTTTTTACTTTCAACAGAGCCCTCAAGAGTGGCTCTCTGGACTCCTGTTAACCACTCCTTCACTCCCTTTTGGATCCTAGATTGTATAAATCATCAGGGGGCCAACTTCTCACCCCAAAGGGGTCACCTGGCTATACAACCACTTTCTAATCCTAACAGGGTTTCCTGGCTGTGTATGTCACCCTCTATGTACACAAACATAAATCATGGTGATTAGTTTGTTCCCCTAGGTGCTGGCCCAATGTGCGGATATGAACCCAAATATTTTCTGAGGACAAACTCTGATCTAGAGTTGCATCAGATATTGCAATTCCAGGCTACCTCAATCTATAAGACTGCTTTATGAACAAGATTGCCTTAACTTATCCATTCTGCATTTTCCTATTTATTTCATATGAACCATCTCAGTCATGCAGATTCTCAGGCAAACAAATATACTTTTTTTGGTTAGTATATAGTCCCACTCTCCTTTCTAAAATAATCACTACAAAAAAAAAAGAAAGAAAAAGAAGAAAAAGTATCATTTTCAGTTATTTGAATGACTTCACCTCCTTTAGACTTTTGCTAATTTGCATATTTGGCTTACCTGATTGAGTAATTTCTCAAACCACTAGCAACACACAACATAACTGTCCCTTAAGCAAAGGTTCAAATACCTCCCACGCATGTTGCTGTGCAAGGGGTGAACCCAGCGTACTCCCAGTCGTAAGTCGTCTCACTGTCCTCAGGGAGAGGGATGTCTAGCTCTCGGGAGGCCGGGCTCTCATCACATGCTTCCAGGAGGCAGGGCCGTTCGGTGGGCAGCTTGGGGCCTTCACACTCTTCCTCGGGCAGCTCAGTCTCAGTCTGCGTGAATGTGAGGAGCACACGGCACTTCACCTCACGGACCTGCACACCCGGCCCACACGTGGTACTGCAGGCTGACCAGGGTTCTGGAATGAACCTAGGGAAAACCAGGAAGCCACCAGAAAAGGACACTGAGGGTCATTAAATATAGGCCAGAAAAGGAGGAGTGACACATTCAACGAAGGCAAAAATAACCAGCTTCACTCGGTGGAATTCCACACATTTGGAATTTTATACTTTTGTTGATGGTCAGTAATGCAGTTAACAAACATTCAAATCTTACTAGCAACAGAAAGAGTAATTCACTAAACTATATTCTACTTTTACATCCATTTCATAATTCGAATCTGTGCTATGGCCTTTGCAAAATTATAAAGGTTTTCTTTAAGATTTAGTAATAAATAAACCATCATATGGAGATCATTTCTAATCTAATTTATTTTATAATATGGAGATTTTCACCAATATTTATTCAGTAAATTAGTATTGAGCTTATCCTCTGTAATGGGCAGAGTAGTATTAAACTGTCTCAAGTTTAGGAGCTAAATTTTAGGGTATCTTAAATACTTTCTACAGAGTGGATGAAGCCTTAATATTCTTTTATGTTTAATACACAAGTGCACGAAGCTTCTGGATCTTCTTCAAAACAAAAGAAATATTGCACAATCTTGCTGAACAAAGCATTTAATTCTTATTCCGGATTATTATCTACTAAATCAAAGGTCATCAAACTATGACTAGCAGGTCAAATCTGGCCCACCTATCTTTGGTACAACCTACCAGCTGAGAATCATTTTTATGTTTTTAAATGGTTGGCAGAAAAAAAGATATTTTGTGACATGTGAAAATTACATAAAATTAAATTTTACCGTGCATAACTAAAGTTTTACTGGAATATAACCACACTCATTTTTCCACCTATTGTCTATGGCTTTTGTGCTACAACAGAACTGAATATTTGCAATAGAAACCATTTGGCCTACAATGCCTAAAACATTTACTATCTGGTCCTTTACTGGACCCCTGCACAGAATTTTGAAAACCAGATTCCGTAGGGACAGATATATTTAAGATACTCTGAAAAAACACTTTGTATCTTGAGATATTAATAAGTGATAGAGGAGAAAGAGTTCAGTAATAGAATAAGTTTTGAAAACTCAGGGCTCGATAATGTTCAACAGATTTATTCACTGCAAAACTTTTCCAAAGACTATGAAATATAAATGCAAACTACAAATGCTTAAGAGAGAAATATTACGTGCATCATTTCATAAACTTAAGTGAATATAGACCCTTGTCCGTGGGATTATGTTCTACTAAATGACTTCAGAAAACACTGCTAAGATGTTTGTTTAAGATGCAGTTCCAAAGCTTAATATTTCTAACCTCAGAAAGACAGGGTTGTAAGGTTCTCACAGAGTCATCCAACCTTCTTTCCCCAGGCAAGACTTAAATATAGTTGTCCAAAAAAGCACACCCCCAATCAGCAGAATGAAATGCCATTACTATATACGTGTCCTGCAAAGAAACATCAATCAACACAAAACATGTTGTTCATTGTGTTGAAAATTGTTAGTGGGGAACCCTTCTCTCTAATTCTCAGATTCCATGTGAGGGCTTGCTCAACTCCCCAGGATGGGGCAATGCTGGAGTTAATATTTGATGTGTCTTTTCTTTCTCTGCTACTCTCATGGTAGAATTGGGAAGGAGACTGGTTAAAGACGAGAAATCCCGACAGTGTAATAATATGTAGTCATTTAAAAGGACATAGGTTTAGGTATGAACTGATAACAGTCTTCTCTTGAAGACTGTTAAATGAAATAAATACATTATACATATATGCTACATACACACAGTCTATAACATACACTATCTATATATACCTATATACTATTTTTTGATTTTAGAAAAAAGAGATCGTAGTACATGAACTGCCCCATATGTAGCATGTTTGTATGTATGCTGGTTTATGTATAATTTCTCTCTTCTGGAAGCAATTGAAAGTGTCAGGAACTAGAGTGTGTAAAGAGGGAGGTTTTTACTTTATATTTTTAAAAGGTTTAAAGTTTCTAAGCATGTGCATATTTTACCTTATGGTCATTAATTTTTTCTCTCTTTTCTCCTTGGTAATAAAAAATTAAAAATTGGGATTTTGTTTTAATGGGAAGTAGATATTTTCATTCAAATTGGACTTCTGTATCTTGGTGATTGAGAATCTCGAGAGGAGATGAGGTAAGAAAGTTCACCTTGGCCAGGCGTGGTGGCTCACGCCGGTAATCCCAGCACTTTGGGAGGCTGAGGCGGGCGAATCACCTGAGGTCAGGAGTTCGAGACTAGCCTGGCCAACATGGCGAAACTCCGTCTCTACTTAAAAAAAAAAAAAAAAATTAGCCAGTCATGGTGGTGCATGCCTGTAATCCCAGCTACTTGGGAGGCTGAGGCAGGAGAATCGCCTGAACCAAGGAGGTGGAGGTTGCAGTGAGCCAAGATTGTGCCACTGCACTCCAGCCTGGGTAACAGAGTGAGACTCCATCTCAAAAAAAAAAAAAAAAAGGTTCACCTAAACTCCCAGCAGGGCAAATAATGGTTATACTCAATGTCCTCCTAGTTTTTCTGTATATTTCAAGTTGGTTTTCAACGATCTTTTTAAAAGTCCTGTTAAAAAGTAAATGTTAGTTCTGTCCAAAGTAACAAGAAGTGACTTAAAGGTTAAAAAAAAAAAAAAACCCACGGCAACTAAAAAATAATTACACAGAATCCAGCATGATTTCCTTCTATGTATTATTTTTTATTTAAATTAAAGATATTATAGTGTTCATACAATTCTGAATCTTGTCTCCCCTCACCAATTTTTTTTTTTTTAAAGAAAGAAAGGAATACATTGAAAGAGCCATGTCTGGGCAAAACACAACCAGAGGAACAGGCTGTGTTACCTACGTCTTTGCACATGGAAGAACTTAAAAAGAATATCATTTCACTGATGTGAGAGTTTCGAGATGAGATGATAAAACAACAGAGTAAAAGGGAAAATGGAAACCAACTGTGAAACATAATAACACTATTGTCACAAGTCTAACAATTCATAACTAGGAAAAAACAGAAGAAACATGGCTGAAGATCAAATTAATGACACAGAGGCCAGACTTGGAAGTGAATGCAGTGTTGAGAGAGAGAGAAAGAGAAGCTGCAAAGAAAACTTTTGTAGGGATGGAAATGTTCTGGATCTTGAGTGGGACTGGGGTTTGAGGGGTACATACATCTGTCAAAACCCATCAGCGGGCGTGGTGGCTCATGCCTATAATCCCAGCACTTTGGGAGGCCGAGGTGGGTGGATAACCTGAGGTCAGGAGTTCAAGACTAGGCTGGCCAACATGCTGAGATTCCGTCTCTACTAAAAATACAAAAAATTAGCCAGGCATGGTGGTGCATGCCTGTAATCCCAGCTACTCGGGAGGCTGAGGCAGGAGAATCACTTGAACCCAGAAGGCAGAGGTTGCAGTGAGCTGAGATCACACCACTGCACTCCAGCCTGGGCAACACAGTGAGACTCCACCTCAAAAAAAGAAAGAAAAAAAACCACTCATTGATGGTGCACTTTAAATAGACACAGTTTATTGTATGTAAACTACATCTCTATAAAATTGATTTTCTGAAGCACAATTTTAAGGGACTAAGTTAAAGAGAACCTAGGTAATCCAATATTGAAGATAACTGGATTCTTCATGTAGAGATTCCAACGCATGAAACAGAAAAGCTGCTCAGAAATAAAATATGAAAAAAGTGACTGAAATACATCCTGAAAAGGTACACTGTCTTCCAGGAAAAAGTAATAAAAATGATGAACATAAAAACCTAGAATTGTAGGCAGAATAATGGCTCCTCACCCCTGCAAGTACTCCCATGCCCTAATCCCCAGAATGTGTGAATACATTACCATACACAGCAAAAGGGACTTTACAGGTGTGACCTCGAGATGGGAAGATAATCCCAGATTACTTTGGTGGGCTTAATCTAATCACAGACATCCTTAAAAACAAGGATATCACTCTGGCTAGAGTCAGAAATGTAAGTAGACTAATAAGCGAGAGGGATTTGAAGTGTAACAGGAATTTACCCACTGTTGCTGGCTCAAAGATGGATGAGACCATCAGCCAAGGAATGCAGGTGGCCTCTAGAAATTGAAAACAATCTCTCAGCCCACAGTCAGCAAGGAAATGAAGATCTCAGTTCTACAAATGCATGGAACTGAATTCTGCCAATTATTCAAATGAGCCTGGAAGCAGACTCTTGCCAAAGAAGACTTCAGACTGACAGACACCTTGATCCTGGCCTACTAGTAACTGGAACAGAGACATCAGCTGAATCTACTGGGCTTCTGACCCACTCAACTGTGGGATAATACATTTGTGTTGTTTTACACCGCTAAGTTTGTGGTATTAGCAGCTATGGAAAATGAATACACCTGGCTAACAAAACTTTGAGCATGAAGAAAGAATTGTCTAGGTGTCTAGGCACAAAAAGCAAGTCTCCTATAGGAACATAAAGACAGGGGTACCTCAGATGCACACAACATTCAAAACCAGGAAAAGATAGAGTAAGAGTTTTGAGAGAGAGACAGAATCAGAGTCCTATGAATATTATGTCCAGTAAAACTGTTATTCAAATACAAAGGTAATAATTTTCTGTAAAATAAGAACAATAATATTACCTACCTAATGGTATTGGGTGAGAATTAAATGTAATGATGTCTGAGTTAAAAGCTCAATAAGTACAATAAAATAAAAAAGTAACATCAGACATTCATTGCATTCTTATTCCTGTGAGACACTGTCTTCAGTGCTTCAAACAAATTCTATCATTTTCTTATAACAACAACCGTATCAGGAAATATTATTATGCCCACTTTACAGATGAGAAAACTGAGGTACAGACAAGTAACCAAAGGGTATACAACAGCTGCTAGCATTATTGTACACGGCCTCATCTGTATCAGAGGATACAGAAGCACTTAAACATCATCCAGGATGACAGCATATGAATCCAAAGACAATTTGACAATGCTCTTTTAGATAATTTATTTTTCTAATTCCAGAATAAGAAAACAAAGCACAAATATCCAACTGCTAAAATCATTCTTCAGCACAAGAGAAGAAGGCAGCATGTATTAGTGAAAGAAAAACATATCTTGGGACACTTAAACACTGTCAGTAGGAAGGTAAATTAGGACAACCTCCATGGAGATTTCTCAAAGACTTAAAAATAAAACTGCCGTTTGATCCAGCAATTCCACTACTGGCTATTTACTCATAGGAAAATAAATCATTATATCAAAAATATATCTGCATTTGTATGTTTATCAAAGCACTATTCACAACAGTAAAGATATGAAATCAACCTAAGTTCTCACCTACAGATAAATGGATAAAGAAAATATAGCCTATATACACAATGGAATACTATTCAGCCATTAAAAAGAATGAAATCTGGCAGGGTGTGGTGGCTCACACCTGTAATCCCAGCACTTTGGGAGGCCAAGGTGGGCAGATCACTTGAG
The DNA here is from genome assembly GCF_000001405.40 of Homo sapiens. NCBI lineage: Eukaryota > Metazoa > Chordata > Mammalia > Primates > Hominidae > Homo > Homo sapiens. The sequence goes on along the minus strand of NW_025791797.1, from coordinate 513,428 downwards.
GTCAGGAGTTTGAGACCAGCCTGGCCAACATGGTGAAACGCTGTCTCTACTAAAAATACAAAAAAAAATTAGCCAGGTATGGTGGTGCATGCCTGCAGTTCTAGCTACTAGGGAGGCTGAGGCAGAATTGCTTGAAGCCGGGAGGTGGTGTTGAAGTGAGCTGAGATCACATCACTGCACTCCAGCCTGGGTGACAGAGCGAGACTCCGTCTCAAAGTGAAAAATCATCAACAACAACAACAAAACAATGCCAATTTATTCATTTTAAACCTGGAGAAATCAGCAGAAATGGCACCATTCTAGATGTTTATGATAAAAATTATATAGGTTTGAGTGTGTTAAAAAAATGAAATTATAGTAGACAAATCTCCTGCTATTATAGAAAACAAATCAAGTTCATATAGCTCATGTAGGAAAACATCAGAAACAAGGAAACATTTAAAATGGAGACCAGAACTATCAGTAATAAAAAATCTATTTAAATGGATTAAACTTTCCTTTTAAAAATAGACTCTCTCTTTTTTTTTTTTTTTTTTTCCCAGAGACAGGGTCTTGCTCTGTCACCCAGGCTGGAGTGCAGTGGTGTGATCACGGCTCAATGCAGCCTTGAACTCTGGGGCTCAACCAAGTGAGCCTCTCACCTCAGCCTCCCCAATAGCTGGGACTACAGGTGCCTGCCACTGCACCCAGCTGGTAATTTTAAAACCTACAGATAATACAAATAACACAGAATGACTTCAGATATGTAAAAAGTAAAAGAATAAACAAAATGAGATAAGAAAAATACAAATGAAAATATAGTGGAAGAGCAAAAAAGCAGGTATAAATATTAGGAAAGAATAAACATAATAGACAAAATTATCATATTTGAAAATGACATAGCTATGAAAAGTACTAAAATTAACTGAAAAATTTTGGAAAAAACCAAAACAGTTCAATAAAGTAGCCCATAACTCTGTGTGTGTGTGTGTGTGTGTGTGTGTGTGTGTGTGTGTGTGTGTGTGTGTGTGTGGTGTGTGGCACTATATAAATATATAGATACATATACTAAAATTACCAGTTTTCCCAGAATTCAACCACATTTACTGTTAGCTGCCAGGCACTATGCTAAGCATATTACATGTATTATTTAATATAATTCTCGCCATGACCTTATGCATAAATATCATTATTTTCCTGATTTTACAGATGAGGAAAACTGAGGTATAAAATACTCAGGGGATTCTAAGCCTAAAAACCTGAATAAATGGAGAGACCACATGCCCCTGAATGGGAAGACTCAAAATTAGAAAGATGTTTATTCTCCCCTAATTAATTTAGAAAAAATGCAGTTCTGAGCCAAACGGCTGAAGCAATTTTTTGGGGGGGAAGTTGGAAACAGACAATACAACTCTAAAGTTTTATGTAAGGTTAGGTGAGAACAATCAAGAACATTTTTAAAAGGAATAACAATTACAGAGTACTTGCACAGTTTAATAGAAAAAAGTATTTAAAAGACACAGTAATTCAAATAATATGGTACTGGCACTGGAGTATTATTTGTACAATGACGTCATTTTAAAACCAAAGTGGGTAGTTTACTCAACAGATAGTGCTAGGGGCAGTTGGTTAATTACTTGGAAAAAATTGTTAGATTGAGATTACATATTACATGTGAAAGTAAATTTCCCATGGATCAAAGTTAAGTGCAAAACATGAACCATAAAAAAAACTACAAAATAACATTTAAAAAAAAAAAGATAATCTCCTGATTTTGATGAACGTATGGGGAAAAAGGCAAGCTGGAGTACTGCTGCTGGCGAGAGAAGCCAGCACTGATTTCTCTCTAAAAGGAAATTTGACAGTAGAAATTAAATGCTTATCCCTGGCCCAGAAATTCCACGCCAGAAAATATGTCCAATGAGACAATTAGAGATGTGCAATTTGGAATTCGCTGCAGTTTTATTTATCATTGTGAATAATTGGAAATAAACTGCAGACCACCAGAGGGATCTTTCAAAAATGTAATTGAGATTATGTCACTTTTCTGGTTAAAATCCTTACATGGCTCCCACAGCCTCCTGATAAAGTCCAAGCTCCTTAGTGAACCATGGAAGACCCTCAAGACTTGCTGGCTCCTCCAGCTGCATCCTTGCTGCCATTACTGCTCCCCGGGCCCATCCTCCTCGCCCCTCACCCACCTCAGACCACCTTAGCAACCTGCGTGGCCTACATGGGCCAGTGAGCCTGCACACAAGCCTCTATTCCAAATACCTGACATGCTGCTCTTCTGACATTGTAGGACACTCTAGGATCTCAGTTCATGTACCATCTATTTCCGGAAACCATCCCTGATCCCGAATAACACCATAACGTAATTATAATGCATTGCAACCTTACAATACCATCATGCAGTCACTCACTTCTCTGTCTACTCCATTAGATAAACCCAAGGATGGGTGAAACTTGAATTCAGGACATCTGACACGAAACTGCAGCTCTTTCTAGTCTTACGTGCCATAGAATCACTGTCCACCACTTAATATCTCCAAAACAATTCCTTTATGTTTCTACGCCTGTTTCCTCAGCCCCAAAATGAAAATAAGAATAGCACCTCCTCATAGGGTTGTTGTGAGCATTAAACAACTTAATCCACGTAGAACACTCAGAACAAGGTCTGGCACAAAGCACTCCTCAATATTAGTTGTTGTTATCATTGTTGTTGTTAGAAAAACAGATTCCTGAAATGTCACCTAATTTGACATTAGCAAATATAATCTCCACAAATGGAGAATTTAAGTCAGCAGTGAAGGAAACATACAAGGTGTGCTAACTAAGTCCACCCTATTTCCTTAGTTTTTGTATATGAAAAACGACAGCGAGGGCAACAAGTTTGCTGAAGTGTTAAGAATCCCACAGAAACAAACGAAGAGGCTCCAGGGAGGAATTTTAAAACAACCATGAACCAATGAACCATATCAACTGTCAACACATTCCACAGCTGAAAGCTAAGAAGGTCAGTACTGCAGTTCCCTTGGCTTAGATTTATACACTATAATTTTTATTTTCCTAATTTTAAAAAAAGCAAAAAAGCCTTTTGAACATCCGCTCCCTATGTAAATTCAGAACTCGAGCCATGGTAAACCACAGAGGCAGAAATATTTATCTCCTTCAGGCTGGCTTGGCAGGCTCTACTGGAGGGATGTAAAATACAGCTGCGTTCATCCTCTCCTTCACTGTCAACAAGCAAGCATCCCCAAACCACAAAAGACAGTGGTAATAAAAGGATGCACTGGAAGCTGAGATATGTTGCGGTTTTGTTTGGAAATCGAGGGAATGAATAGAGTCAGAAGTGGTGGCAGGAAAATATAAACTTCACACTAGATGGCCAGGACCAGGCCAGAAACTGCCAGGCAGTGTGAATTATGCAGGAAAATTGCAGAGCGACCACAGAGGGAGAGATGGCAGAAGGTGGGAAGAGGCAGCTGCTTGGGCCAGGGAACAGGTGCTGTCTGCTCAGTCTTCAACACGGGGGAAGAAAGGGTGGTGTCCTTCAGGAGTAAAGAACCTTTTGGCTTTGCTCTGTGAATACGAGGAGGAAGAAACCCCTAGCAAAGTCAGGTGGGGCTGACAGAAAAGGCAGGCTTGGAATGAATATGGGGCCTGAACCTCACTGTAGCTCCTTTTCTTTCTTTCTTTCTTTCTTTTTTCTTTTTTTTTTTTTTTTTTTTTTTTTTTGATGTGGAGTCTGGCACTGTCACCCAGGCTGGAGAGCAGTAGCAGGATCTCAGCTCACTGCAACCTCTGCCTCCCGAGATGAAGCAATTTTCCTGCCTTAGCCTCCCGAGTAGCTGGGACTACAAGCATGTACCACCACACCCGGCTAATTTTTGTATTTTTAGTAGAGACAGGGTTTTACCATGTTGGCCAGCCTGGTCTCGAACTCCTGAGTTCAAGTGATACACCCACCTCAGCCTTCCAAAGTGCTGGGATTATAGGCGTGAGCCACTGCGCCCGGCTGATATCCCCCTTTTCTAATTCAATAAAGTAAACAGTATTTTCTGAACTTTAAAGGGACCTTAGGGACGATCGGATCCAGTGGTTCCCAAACTTGGATATGCCCACTCCCCTGCCAAAGTTACCTGGGGTATTTGTTTAAAATGCTGGTGAATGAAAGAGAGACAGAAAATAGAATAGAGGTTACTAGAGTCTAGTGGGAGGGAGTAGGGAGTTATTGCTGAAGGTGAACAGAGCTTATGTTGGGGGGTGATGAGAAAATTTGAGAGATGGGAGGTGGTGATGGGTGCACAACAATGTGAGTGTGCTTAATGCCACTGAACTGTACACTTTCAAATGGTTAAAATGGTAAGTTTTGTGTTGTGTATCTCTCACCATGATAAAAAAAAAAAAAAAGATCTGGCAGCCGAAAGAAAAAGAAAATGTTGGTGATGGAGCCCCACTCCTACAGTATCTGACTCAGTGGGGCCTGGAAATCACCACATTTTAAAAAGCACCACGGGTGATTCTGATAGAAGTATTGAGGATAGCATTTCAAAAATGGTATTTTGATTATTTTTTAAAGACTTCTTTTTGAGATACATAATTATGAATGAAATGATGTGCTGTCTGTGTTTGCTTCAAAAATGATCAGGGGGTAGTGGCAGTGGTGATGGTTTCGATGAAACAAGGGTGGCCCTGGGTTGATAATTGTTGATACTGGGTTATGAACATGACATGGGGGTTCATTACACTGTTTTCTCCTCTTTTAAATAGGTTTGCAATTTCCTATGATTAAAAAGAAAGTTACAGAAAAAGACTTAACAGGTGGGGCCACTCCCAATTAAGAGGGGAGTGTAATTAAAGAGGAGGCAAGAGGCAGCTTGCTGTGGGCAAGAAACAGCCCGCAAGTCAGTGTGGCTGGAGCATCCCACTCAAGGCAAAAAAAAGGAGGTGGCCAGACATGAGGCTGGGGACCAGGAAAGGTAATACCCTGCCAAGTCCCATTGGGCATATGAACCCACATACATCTTTGAGTGATGGGGAGACATTTGGATATTCTGAACATTGCAAAGAAAGAATTAGACTTGGCCAGGTGCGGTGGCTCACACCTGTAATCCCAGCACTTTGTGGGGCTGAGGCGGGTGGATCACGAGCTCAGGAGATCGAGACCATCCTGGCTAACATGGTGAAACCCTGTCTGTATTAAAAATACAAAAAATTAGCCTGACATGGTGGCACATGCCTGTAATCCCAGCTACTCAGGAGGCTGAGGCAGGAGAATCGCTTGAACCCGGAAGGCGGAGGTTGCAGTGAGCAGAGATCACGCCACTGCACTCCAGCCTGGGCAACAGAGTGAGACTCTGTTTCAACAAAACAAAAAGAATTAGACTTGTGCCCTACCTAGATAGACTACTCTGGTGGCTGTGTTGTGTAGGGGTGGATTTGAGGGAAGCAATTCAGGAGCAAATTAGAAAGCTGTTGTAGGTGTCCTGGGAACTGATTTCAGGACCTGTACAAGGATGGTAGTTTGGATGGAAAGGAGGAGCTGGAACCAAGAAAGATTTTAGTAAATATAGTCGGCACAACTCAGTGGCTAATTACACATCAGAGAAGAATGAGAAGGAGCCAAGAAAGAATCCAGGCTTCTAGTTTGGGGAACTGGACGGACTGCAACCCTATTACCCAAAAGAGGACATACAGAAGCATTATCAACTATCATCTAACTGTGTTTTGAAAGCAAAAGATCTTGGTAGGACCCATCATTCTAGACAAAGGACTCTGTGACCTTCCTTCTGTGACAACTACACACTCTCTCTCTCAAGTGCCTCAAACCCTTTTCTTTCTATAGACTCCTTCCCTTACAGGATTGTAGGTGATCAGAGATGTGAGAAGGTTCCAGCAGCATTTAGCCTAATGCCTTCCTTATACAGTTGGAAGGTCTACAGATATTAACTGACTTGTGCAAAACCATATCTTTTTAATTTAAGATTGCCCTAACATCAAAATGAAAAACAACAAACACATACGTATACACTTTTCCATCAGCTTGACTACCAATCTTTGCTCCTTCTTTAGTACTTAAATACCCATTGCTCCGTTTTCTTCTTTTTTGGAAATTTATTTCTGAAATATCCACAATGTTTTATTCTCTACCCTTTGAATGCTACTACTCTAAAATTCACTGAAAAAGCCTTTCTTGTTAATCAAAGTAGGCTTTTCTTTTTCCTCATGGTTTTTCCTTGTCTTTCTGTGAGATTTGAATCCATCTGCTGCTTGCCTCCTTGCCTCCTTAAACTCCTTCCTCCTTTGGTCTCTGGAACAATAAGCTTTCCTGGGTCTTACTCCTCCCTCTCTCCACTACTTTACTCCCTTACCATCTTCCTCTTTTGATTCCCCCTCTTCCTCTAAATCTCCAAGCTTCTGTCAGGAGCCCAACACTCTTCTCTTTTTACTCAAATACTGTGAAGCCATTCCCCCTCACATGGTCCACAGTTTCTTCTGTGGTCATAGCCAGCACTGACAGTGGTCCACGTGGAGAAGTCTGTGCCTGTCATGAGTGTGATGTGCCAGCTATGTTGGCCCACATCACTTTGCCACATGTGCCTTCTCAAAGCAAAGTAACCCACACTGCCCTGGGGCTCACCACTGGGCTGGACCACAGTTAAAAGGGAGATTGACAAATGAGAGTGGGTTCTGAAAAGCACAGGAGGTTGGGAAGGGATCTAAAAACAACAGTGCATGAAGACTGCTGAAAAGGCTAAGAATGATGAACTTGGGAAAGACAAAGCTCTCGGGATCCATGGCAGCTTTCTTCATATTTGTGAAAACTTGTCACATGGGATGGGGCATAGATGTATTTTTTTTTCTGCTTCAGAGAACACAAATTAGGAGGTCTATTCTGTCTCATCAGAAGAAAAAGATCTTGCAAATAACGGGTTGCTCAACACAAGAATGAGGTGTCTCTTAATGCAGTGAACTCTGCCCATTGCTGAAGGTGTTGAAGAAGAAATGCCTGCTCCGAGAGGGAAAGTGGCCAGATTACTGCTGAGACCCCTTTTCCTCTGATGCTCTGGGAATTGCTCTCTTCATAGACAGCCTGTCAGCACCAAACACTTAACATGTTTGACATGGAATCAGCTGTTCTGTTCAATTACTTGAGTCTATCATTGGTACTGTTGTTCTTACAGATTCCTGGACTAGAAATCTCAGAGCACCTTTGATTTCTTGCTCTCTTTTTGTCCCTATATAACTGCCTCCAGAATGCTTCTTTGATTTCCTCTTGATTCTTAATTTCCACTGGCACTGTTACAATCCAGATCCATCAAATCACATGCAGATGGTAGTCATTGGATTTTTGAGTTGGAATGAACCCTGGAGAGATCAAGCCCAACCTGCTCCTTTTATAGGTAAGGAGAATAAGACACAGAAAAATTAGACTTGTCTTAGGTCATGTAGTTAGCAGGGGTGGTTCTAAGCTCCAATACTCTTAGTACCTTGTTCTTTCCATTTCCCTATGATCACTCAGGCGACTAATGCATTTCAACTTAATTGATTTTATAGAGATTGACCATGACTTACCCATGGAATGACTGGTTTATTTGTATGATACTATGATGGTTCATGGTCAAATCACATGCGTTAAAACCTAGAAATTATCCCCAGTCTCTTAAGTGTAGCAGACCACTGGATCTGCTTTGAGTTAAGTAACACTGTTCTTTTCTGTGCTGCTCAGAGAAACTGCCAAAGGAGGACTGCTGAATTGTGAAACAAAGAAAAATTCTAGCCAGCTCAAGCTCTCTAGAGTCTGTAAATCCAGGTCATTTGGATATTAAATGTATCACTGTACTCCAATGAGTACAAAAATTACATATATCATGTTAACTGGCTATGCCCTGATTATTCCTACAAAAGGTCCTGGACTCACGTTGGTTCTTCTGTTGCTATTCTGGTCTCTTCTAGTTCTTGTGCTTGTTTCAGCCAAGGCAATTTTGCTTCCACTGGACTTTTTTCTAAGAAAAAGAGAACATAAACAATGAGCCTAATTACTATTAATCATTAAGGAGTTGGATAGGTGATCATATTGGCTGAAGATTTCATTTATAAAGAGGTCATGTTTTTCAAATGCAAGTTGAGTTCCTTAGTACAATACATTAGGTGGCTGCTGGAATGAATTAAACACTTCTGCTGTATATTAAAAAAATTAATACATTATTAAAATGCAACCAAAATGATCACATGATACAGTTGAAAATGCTGTCAAAGTTAACATAAAAATGCCTTTTATAAATCAATACCAATTTCTGTTGTTCATATATTGAAGCTTTTACTTCAACCATATCAGCTTGCTATCTTTGGTCACATTTTATTTTTGCCCATGGAATGCAAACATTAATAGAGAAAGGCAAATAATATGAAAGTTAAGAAAGTTAGGGGGGATGAAGGAGTCTGTGTTATAGTTTACTCAGACTTTTACTGTTGTTGTAGTTGTTGAGGGAGATGATTACCAATTACATCTGGCATGGAGGAACAAACTGTTGCCCCCCTTCCTGTCCTTTGAAGCCTCCTTGATGTGAAGAAAGGAATAATCTATCTATGAAGTGAGAAATAAAAATAACTTTAGGGTGCTTCAAGGAAACTATGGACACAATGAAAGTGGCTATGAAAGTATCATAAATGCAGAAGGAAGGAAAAAAGACTTCACTGATGGAGTTAAGTAGTCAATGTTTGTACCTGTCATGGCAACTAGTGATTTTTCTGCAAGATAGACGTACTCAAAAATATTTATTGAATGGCTAATTATGAGGCTATTTGTATGAATAATGAACCCAGAAATAACAAAAGAGAGTTTTACCATCCTCTCTCAAGTACTAAGGAGGAGTCCTTCTTACTAATAGTTGGGAATAATCTTTTCTCCCATTTCAAGATGGAAGATACTTTTCATGAGGATGGTTAACATTAAAGAACATGGAAATAATTATGTACAGAGAAGATCATATATCAGAGAGCTGATGCCAAATCCTCCTATCCCTGGATGCTACCCATTTCTGCTCTTTCATGTGGAACAAATGTGAACTACTGGAGAGATTATAAATGCATCCATAGATCTCCACTGGGAACGGGAAGTTTTCATTCATTCCATGCATTAGTACACATGATAAAGATGACATCATTCCTCCCTCAAAAATCTTATACTCCAGCGGAGAGGTAGCTATAAAGAAGAATGAGAATCTTGGGAAAAGAATAATTTCCTCCTCCTCCTCTACTTCTTCCTCTGTTTCTTGCTCTTCTTTCTTGTCTTCCTTCTACTTTTCCTTCCCCTCCTTTTTTAATCTCTCCCCCGCCATTCTTCTTCTTTTTCTTCAAGGGAGGGACTGCATTTAATTTTCTTACGTCCACCAAGAAATGTTAGTATAAAACTAGATAGATAGGAGCTACTCCATCTGTACTGAATCAACAGGAGCTCAGTTTTCCCTCCAGATGAATAATTCACATATATCTAACTTCTTTATCTAGATGGGAAGGTCTATTGCAATCTGTCAATAAAACAATTTTTATAAGAAAGTAGTAAGTTGAAAGGGAAATGCTACAATATTGGAATGGGAGCTGGAAAATACCATTTGATTTGAATTTACAGTGCACCACAGACTTACCTTTTGGTTTATAACACGGGATGGGAATGACACATTCTTCTTTGATGTGTAACTTCAGTTGTGGATTGCAGCCCCCAACATGCTCTCCGCGGTGGTTAATACACAGAACAACCCGGTACCGTAACCCTCGGCCACAAGTCACTGTGCACTTCAAAGAAGAAAAGAGAAGCCAACGCATTTCTTTTAAGAGAACCACAAAGGCATTATTTTATCGAATGCAAAGGAGAGCCATTGAACTACATAAATGTTAAACACAAAAGACTTTTAGACAAATATTATGTAAGGAAGGGTACAGAGGCTAATTTTCTGTGATACTTGTATTTCAGGGCCCCTCTTTTGTACAACCTTGTTCCACTTCTCAATTCAAAAAGTATTTAAGGTGAGATCATAGTTCAAGAAATTAAAAATGCCCTGAAATCTTACTGCTCAAATATCAAAGAAACTTGTTACAAGTTTTCTCAAGTTTGATTAAACGTTTACATGACCCTACCCAAAATAATTTTTGAAGACGAATGAAACCTTTCTGAACTGTCAATAAAAATATAATAAAATTCTAATGAATTATGCCAGAGGATTATTTTTCTATTCTGTCTATAGAAGTCAGTCTTGCAAAACTGCTACCATATAACGAGGCCATCAAAGAGTATTCAGCCAAACGCTATAGAAAAAAATACTATAGATGTATCCCCATACATCTATAACTGCCTGCAGTTAAAGTTAATAAAAACATTATGCTATTATTTTTCTGAATTTTTGTGAAGTTTGTGTTGTCAGCATTTTTTTTCTTGGATTATTTGTTTATGATTTGAAAGTTACTCTTGCCTATGAGTGGAATGTTTTCATGTCATATAAAAATCTAGAATAGCTTTTCAAATTTATCTGTTATGATTTGGCTCTGTGTCCCCACCCAAATCTCATCTTGAATTGTAATCCCCATAATCCCCACTTGTCATGGGAGGGACCTGGTAGAGGGTGATTGGATCATGGGGGCAGTTTTCCCCATGCTGGTCTCATGATAGTGAGTGAGTTCTCATAAGATCTGATGGTTTTATAAAGGGCTCTTCCCCTTTCATGCTCTCTCTCCGTCTCCCGCTGCCTTGTGAAGAAGGTACTTGCTTCTACTTCACCCTCCACCATCACTGTAAGTTTCCTGAGGCCTCCCCAGACATGTGGAACTGTGAGTCAATTAAACCTCTTTCATTTATAAATTAACCAGTCTCTGGTAGTATCTTTACAGCAGTGTGAGAATGGACTAATATAATCTGCATGTTGGGGAGTGTATATATGTACGCATTAAAAAAAATTGATAGACTATATTTTTTGAGGACCATATTGGGTTTATAGAAATATTGAGCAGACAGTACAGACAGCGCCAATCTTCCCCTTCACCCCTTTTTCCCCCTATGATTTTCCCTATTATTAACATCTTGCCTTAGTGTGGTGCCATTGTTCCAACCGATGAACCCCTATTAATACATCATTATTAACATAACTAATACATCATTTAATATATCATTATTAAATATTATCAAGTCCAGAGTTCACAATGTGGTTGTTGTCAGCTTTCTAAAATTTGTAATTTCTTATAATTTCCTTTCTGATTCTAAATAAACATTCTCTTCAATACTCAATATTTGTGTTTTATATTCTTGTTTTTGAGGAGTCCCCTCCAATCTGTACAAACTTCAGACCCCACTAATTCTGGATCCACCCCAGGGAGGGGCTGAGGGTTCTTGGTTGCCTTTGGTTACCTGCTATGGGACAGGCACCTCCTTCATTTGTTATCTCATGAATCCTCCCGACCCACTTCCGGGTCAGTAGCTTCAGGCTTATTGAACAGATAAGCAAATGGCCCACCATCTAAGGATCTTGCTCAAGGTCACACAGTTCCTAACAGGCAGAGTGGAATTTCCTCCCAGAGCCATCTATTGCCAAAGCCACGGCCAAGCCACCGCTTTAAGGAGCTTGAAAATTATTTTCTGACCCCCTAAGCACTTTGTACCTGGGTGTTGCTAGGGACAAGTTTCAAAGATATGTTTCGAGGATATGGAGGCCTTTCTCAGTGTACACACATCAGGCAGAATATTGGGAAATCTCTCTAGTTCATGATGCCACTCTTGAAACCACTGAACAAATACTTTAATGAGTTCAGCGAAGCTTGAGATTACCCTGTTTTTGGAAAATTGACTCACCTACCCCCAAATTTATCAATTTGAGATATATATATATATAATATTGAGTGGCTGTTTTAGCCAAGAAAGAAAAAAATTCACCCAAAAAGAAAGAAAACAGTACAAGATATAACTATACTACAACTGGTTAATCCAAAGGAGTATCCTCTCCTTTTAAACCGCCGTTCTGGGAAGCCGGACACTTCCCCTAATGGCACTGTCACTGTTTACAACGGTTCCAGAACTCCTCTGTGGAGCTGCATATGTCCTCGATGATGGAAAATCCTCATCACTGAGAATATATTTGATTTTTGAAAAAAGTGAAAAGTATTAAGGGTGAAGTATGGTGAATGAGAAGAGCTAGTTAACATCCTCTATTCTGATAATATACATAATGATAAAGTCATGATATTTATGGGGATGGAGAGTGATATAAAAGCTCTAAAGCCAACATAAAACATATGGCTAGGACTTATGAGAGCTGAAAACAAGCTCTGCAGTTGTAGAAATAATGTTGATTGGGGGCTGAAAAAGTGAAAGTCCCTAATGTCTCGATAACAAATCCTTTTGCAGCTGAGATGATATTTTTTGCTTTCAACAAAATAGAAAGAGGACTTAAATTGCCAGTAGAAAGACCCTTAAAAATAATTTTTGATGATAGACCATCACATGAATTCTGGCACGTAACTCAAGAGTTCAAAGAACAAACCGACCTTGCTAAAATAAAATCCTTCCATCCCGGTCTATTGATTTATGTGAACAAGCTTTCCCAGTGTATACATGCAAAGGCAAACAAAACAAAATAAGAAACCAATAGAAAAAATTAACAATAAAATCATTGCTGAACACATGGCTCATTCTGATGATGAATATATGGACTATTTTTTAAGTTCCACTTATCTTCTATCAAGATATATTAATGCATGTACACGATGAACTAAGTGTGTATTCAAATGAAAATGTAATTTTTATGTGTTATTCTTATTTACCAAACTTTGAAATATATATATATATATGTTATTTTGACTGTGTATTAAAATTAACTCAATTCAGAGGAATATTTTAAATACTTAGGGCCTTATGGCCACAGGAAAGTAAAATAAATTAATTTCAATGATCATATATATTTTCTTGGAGAGAAGTAGAATAGTGTAATTAAAAAAAGACTTTAAAGCATAAAAATACATTATATTAGAATAAAATTCTGTGGGGAGAGTAGATTGCAAATGTGAGTTCAAAGGGAGAAATATGCTCAACATCCAAATTGTTAAAGAAGAGCTCGCCCCTGTATTTTTTAAATGAAAGATGGCAAAGACAGAAATTATCATGGCATTTAAATTCCACTAGACAGATTTTTTTGAATGCTGCAACACTCTTATTTTAAAATGTCAACATTCACAACATGTTGAAATGATATTCTTTGTAATTATTTAAACTTGTGATAGGAAATTTCAGATGTCAACCTAAATATATGTGAAGAAATACGTAATTCTCTAATCTTCTTTTTAGGGAGTATGTGACCAAAAATTAATTGGTAACTTCTTCCCCAGCAAGTTTGAATAAAGTTCTTACAGGGTGATGATGTTTAGTCTGGGGATATCAGAAAAAGATTAATATGGTCTTTACCTGACACTTGTCCTTCAGGTTCAAGTGCTACCTCCTTTCTGAAGCTTTCCTGACACCTTCAGATGGAGTGAATCATTCCACCTTGTGCCTCTGAAGTACTGGGCACATGACACTACTCATGCACAATACAATACTGTAACACAACTTTGTTTGCATGCATGTCTGTGCAACTAGATTCTAAGCTTTTGGGTGGTTGGAGCAAGTTGTATTTACTTCTTAGTATGGTAGCTGACCCATTGAATAAATATATGAATAGATATATTAATGCACATATATGATGAACTAAGTGTGCAGAAATCACTTAAGAAAGCTGGAGAAACTTGAGTCAACTACATCTCACTCTCTAGAAAATTAAAGGATTAAGATTAAATAATTAAATACCAATGTCTGCATTTTTCATCTTTGACTAATCCGGCTGCATTTTATTTGTTCTGGAGGCTTACTCAGTCATCTCTTTAGAAAGTGAAAACTACGCTAATTTGACATGAACCTTGTTATACCTCTGAGGTGTCTTCCTTCTTCTGTTTTCTTTTTTCATACAACTTGACCCCACGGATGATTTCTAAATAGGCTGCCCGCCTCTGGTCTTTCCCAATGTTAGGCTATCTTGCCTCAATTACTTAAAATATATTATGTCTTCACAAAAATTGTGAAGGTTCTTAGTGGCTACTGGATCAAGGACACACACTTTCATGTCGTGTCAGCATTTCCAACTTAATCTCCCAATTCTTAGTAACATGGGCCATCTCTTCAATCTCTTAATCTTCCAGTTCTTAGTATCATGGGTCATCTCTTCAAATCTTCAACTTTGAGTCACTTCTTGTCATTACTGCCTTTGCTCAAGCCATCTCTGTTTGGCCATCTCCCTAACACTAACCCTAACCCAGTGATGTTTCTCAGGTTCTTGCTTGTTTACATTCTTCAAAGAATTTAAACAATTTAAATTGTAATTCTTGCTTGTTTAAATTATTCAAAGATGGATTAGGCACCACAAGGGCAACAAATAATTCCTGATTGACTCTGCTTCAACATTTGTTCTTTACAGATTTGTTCTTTACAGTACTTAATATTAATTACGCTGGTAATTGTATGGAAATATTATTATTAATGTCCTTAATATTAATTATCCTTACCTACCATGATGCTTGTGGTCTTTCTTCCCTCGTCCTCCAACTGTCTTCCTAAGCTCTTTGGAGTAGGAACCATGCTCTTTTACCACTTTTTTTTTGTCTCCATGCTGTCTAGCACCATGGTGGGCATATAGAAAATATCCCTTAAAATATGAGAATTAATTAAAAGTGGCATATTCTCAAATCTTACCTGAGACCACTCCATGGCAATCCACTTGGGGCAATCAAACAGATTACAAGTTTGCATAACCTTGGGTTTGGGTGCGTACATGCACTTCCATTCTTCCACCTGCAATATCTCTCCATGCATGGATTCCTCTACACACACAAAGCTCCGTCTCTGAATCCCTCCTCCACAGGACACGGAACATGCAGTCCAAGGATTATGTTCCCAGCTCAAAAGCAAACAAATAAAATTATATTATTTATTTGTTGTTTGTTTGAAGTTTGCAAAGATGGTGGCAAAAAGTATGGCCTTAAGGTATCAATTGTGGTTCAGCTGAATGAGCCTGGGACTGGGAGTCATAAGACTTTATACTTTTTTTTGTTGAGACAGAGTCTCGCTCTGTCACCCAGGCTGGAGTGCAATGGCGCAATCTTGGCTCACTGCAACCTCTGCCTCCCGGGTTCAAGCAATTCTCCTGCCTCAGCCTCCCTAGTAGCTGGGATTACAGGCATGCGCCACCACGCCCGGCTAATTTTTGTATTTTTAGTATAGACAGGGTTTCACAATGTTGGCCAGGCTAATCTAGAACTCCTGACCTCGTGATCCGCCTGCCTCAGCATCCCAAAGTGCTGGGATTACAGGCATGAGCCACTGTGCCCAGCCTTTTTTAAATTTTAATTAATTTAGTTTTTTTTTTAAGATGGAGTCTCTTTCTGTCACCCAGGCTGGAGTGCAGTGGCAAGATCTTGGCTCACTGCAACCTCTGCCTCCTGGGTTCAAGCTATTCTCCTGCTTCAGCCTCTCAAGTAGCTGGGATTACAGGCACCTGCCACCAAGCCCGGCTAATTTTTCTACGTTTTAGTAGAGATGGGGTTTCGCCATGTTGGCCAGGCTGGTCTTGAACTCCTGACCTCAAGTGATCCGCCTGCCTTAGCCTCCCAAAGTGCTGGGATTACAGGCATGTGCCACCACGCCCGGCCAAGACTTTATTCTTAACTGCCACACACAAATTCTTGTCACAAGGTACTTAGCTCCTCACATCCGGGGTTTCTGTCAACTGGGAATAATATACCTTCCCTATTTACCCTTCATAAGACCATTGTGAAAATTAAATCAATTAAAACATACAGTGTGGCTGCATCTTCAAACTGCCTCTAAACTGTTAAATACTAATGGACAATATTATTAGAGAATCACAGAACCTCAGAGTCAGGAAGGACCATACTACTCATCTCGGTATAAAAGGGGATTAAAATTTCTGATTAATTGCAACACTTGAGCTCCTGCTATAATACTCAGTTGTCCAAGATATGCTTGACAGCTCTAGCGATGGGAAACATCATCTTTTGAGGCAGTCTATTCCATCTAATTCTTAGAAAGATTTTTCCTATTATTGAGTAGAAGTCTGTTTTCCCTTAGCTCTATAAAGTATTTAATATCTAACCCTCATACATTTTAGGCTATTGCTACAGATGCTACAGTTCCTTGCAAACTACTTAAATTGCAAAAAGGAAAAGGAAACATATAACTCACCGAGGAAGAGGTTGGAAGTGGTCATAGGGCATTATCTCTTTAAATCCATCACTACAAATGAAATCATTGTGAGAATATCATTTCTATAATAAATTAACACATTCATTAATTGACGAATATAATATTTGACATCCCAAGAGACAGAGCTCTTCCAAATTGGAAACTAAAAATATCAAGTGTTATCAACCATTCCCAAAAATTCAGCCACCATCTCTTTAGTTGTCAAGAATATCTACGACACAAATTCCCCAGTTCTATTTGAAAATGTAGAAAACTAAACTAGCAGTATATTAATCAAAGGAGAAAAGTATCTTGCAATTTCAATAAATTTATTCCTTTTTATAATCATTACTCTCTTAATATATTAGTGATATTAACACACTGTCCTATTAGTAGGCTCTTCAGAAAACCACTTTATTTCACAGAATTTGTCCTTTGAAAGGTCTCTATTAATAATTATGTTCAACCAGGCTTACAGGAAATGTGCAGTTCAGTAACAGGAAATGAAATCCACTGAGAACGCTTCCTTTTCCACTTGCACACTTCTTCCTAAGCCAGCTGGCAGATATCTGGAGGATTCTGGGACTTGATATTGTTCTGTTATTTTAAGGTATTGTAGTAAGCCAGGAAACTTCCCCAGGCAATCCAAGTCAGCAGGTACTAAATTATGCAATAGGATAGTTTACACATAGCTTTTTATACTTTGGCATTAAAACTTTTACTTCCTTGCACAATGCATTATTTATACTGAATTTAATATGAATACTTCAAAAGCCAAAAGATGATAATGAGTGACCCAGTTTAAAAGCTAAAGTGGTGAGTGAAAGATATTTATGATTGGCAGATGGACTAGACATTTTACTTGGATGAAGAGAGCAGGAGCTGTTCAAAAGGGTTCATTATAAAAAAACTTAGGAACACATAGCCCACGACAAGAGAAAGCTAGACTTTCATTCCTAATGAATGTGTCCTAATTCCTATGCACCATAGTTACAAATGTGAATGTAGGCACCTGCCGCCAGTAGACAAAGCCAGGAAATGGAAATGTATTGCCCTGCAAAGATTGATCAGTCTCAGTTGAAGCTGATTTGTTTCTTTTTGAAGTAAAAAGGGTGTGGACAATGACACAAACCTTGATGGGCAGGGATCCATGCTGCATTCCTTCAGTTTTGGTTTTGGTTTTACATTTTCAGGGTAGTAGTGACAATAATGGTCAGGAACTACCCTCTTCAAGCGGATATCCACACATTCAGCAGAATTGAGCTGATAACCTAAAGTGTTAGAAAAGGCAAGTCTGAATATTGCATCCGTTTCATTTTTACTTGGCAGAGTTATCACTTGCCACACACTTTTTTTTTTCCTCTTTAAGAAACTTAACTCAGTGGTTCTCAACCCTGGCTCTATAACAGAACCACATGGGAGCTTTTAATATACTCTAATGCCCAGGTTCCTTCATGGTCCAATTAAGTCAGAAGTCCTGTGGCTGGGATCCAGGAAAACAGTATCTTTTTAAAAAGATTCTCAGGTTCTTCTCAGATGACTAAAATGCGTGGCCAAAATTGAGAACGACAATTAATACCAACTGTGGTACTCTCAGCACTTCGAACTAAAAAATGACAATAGTCTCCTCTTAAGAACTGTTTCCAGCCCAGGTGCAGGAGAGTTATTCATTCTCCTGGGTTCATTGTCTTTTCTCCTCATTGTCACCACGGCACTGTGCAAGGCCCTTCTCTCATTTCCGTATAATCTCTCTTCTTCCCTTATTGACACTCCCATTCCAATCCCCGCAACACACCTATTTCGATTTGTTGTTGATACGTCCTGAAATATGCAACCGTCTTACGTAAGGTTGTTTTTTTGTGTATCTGTTTTTAACTTAATAAATGATAATGTGTTTTAAATCTTGTTCCGTTTTCCACTTTTTTCACTCAACATCATGTTTTTGAGAACTACCCTTGCGCTGGGTGGTTGCTGGGTTGAATATTTCTTTCATAACATTTTATGATATGCATACACAGTACCGCATTTTACTCCTCTGCTCCCCTGGGATGCCACAGGCACCTGCAATACCAATAAGCTTTCCAAATGGGGAATTAAGCATTGTCTATACAGAAAGGAACAAAATCCATCCCCGTATGTCACTCCCCAGCCCTCATCTCACAAGCCTTCAAACGGAAGGAATGAAGACTTATTCCTGATTCTATTAAATCTAATTTGTAGAGTTTCTGAGGAAAGTGAACTTTGCAAATAGATGAGTGCTATAAATTTAAAAAGCAAGTCACAAAATGATGCTTCTATTTCCTGAAAGATCTGATTCCAAGTTTCCTGTCACCACATAAGTGTCTTGTTAAAGTTAAACTTTTTCAAAAAAAGGTAATTTTTCAAAACTAGAATGAGCTCTTTACGAAAGAAAAAATGCCCAAAGCCAAGCACTCTGCCTCTGCCAGTTGGTCTAAAGGTCTAAAAATACATTTAAAGTCCTGATTGTCGAGAGGAATCTGATTTTATAAACCACTAGACAGCTTTCTACAAGACATGGCTTGGATGTAAGCTGAGTGCAGAAGGACGGACTGGTATGCATTATAAAAAGCAAGGTCGAAACCGCAAGAATGAAAATCCAAATGGAGTCAATAAAATGTTACTTGGGTGCCAATATCTGCCAGAAAGTCAACGATATCAGATGGCAATGGCAATCTAGGTACCTTCTCCAAATTGATCTCAAGTGTCTCACATCGACGATTACAGACGGGACTAGGAAAGTCCATTCAAGTACCCCCGGTACCTTAGAGACCGATGAACTAATTTTCTTGATTATCCAAAAAACTCTGAAATTCCATTCACACACATCACACAGATTTGATTACTAATATAATTAAATTTTGGTAATGTTTTCCTTGTGGGTTTTATGTGTGTGTTTTATTTTCCCCAAAACAAGTACAAAATGAGATTACAGCTCCTTGAGTCAGAAAAAAAAAATCTTTGTTCTAAATAGAAATAGACTTCTAAATGAAAACAGGGCATATACAGGTGTTTATAATTTGAGGAGAGACAATTAATTTTCCTCTTTTGTTTTATCACAGTTTAGAAATAGCAAAAAGCAAAAGAAATGAGGCAGATTGCCTTTCTATATCTTGAACAAATGTATTGAAATTCTGCCAGTGTATAGAAAACGGCAGGAACCCCAAAAGCAGCCTAAAATCTCCCTTCTGTTCTTACATCCACTGCTGTCTTTGGAGACGATCTCACTGCTAAGTGCTCATGCACATTTATAGTTCCAGCAGGACTATGTCTTTCCATGGGCACCCAAGTAGGAGAAACACCTATTTGCTTCCCAAGAATTTGATCAACTGGACTAAGCTGAATCCCACTATAAAATGTCTCCTCTGGAGTAGTAAGTGTCTTTTATCTTATGGATCCAAATGTGAACGTCTCTCTGAATGACTATGTGTAAGAACAAAGAAATAAAATTTAAAAAAAAATAGATGTTTGAGCCAAGCATGGTGGCACACGCCTGCACTCCCAGCTACTCGAGAGGCTGGAGTGGGAGGATGGCTTGGGCCCACCAGTTGGAGACCAGCCTGGGCAACATAGTGAGATGCCATCTCTACAAAATACTTTAAAAATTAGCCAGGCATGGTGGCACATGCCTGTAGTTCCAGCTACTCGGGAAGCTGAGGCTGGAGGATCGCTTGAGCCCAGGAGTTTGAGTCTAGCCTGGGCAACTTGGTGAGACCTGCCTCTAAAACAAACAAACAAACAAAAAGGAGAGAGAGAAATGTTTGTTTTTCTGCAGAGTAAGAGTACCCAAAGAGTCATAAGTGACTCAAAGATGTAAAGGAACCTTTGCCTCATAAAAATGCTTGTAACATTCAAGAAAATTCTGGAGGAATTGAAAATAACCTGAATGAATGTCAGAGCTGGTAGAAACTTGAAGATGACTTACTCCACTGGTTTGTTTTCACTGTATTAATTTTGTGATTGTACTCTATTTGTGACAAGGGATAGATTTCCACTTACGGTAGTACTACTAAATTCTTTTTGTTAATATGTTTATTTAAGTTGAATAAATGCCCCCTTAAAGAAAAATCCTTTAGTAAATAACAGTGCAGGAATAACACAGATATGGCAAAAATAGTGATGGCAATATGGCTCCAGCTGCTATCCAAAGACACTGGCTTAAAGAGGCAATGGTTCTCAAAGTGGAGTGTGTACCATCATCTCCTGGAGGATGAGCCACACTCTGGGGTTTCTGACTCAGTAGGTCTGTGGTGGGGCCTGAGAATCTGCATGTCTAGTTAGTTCCCAGGAGATGCTGATGCTGCAGGTCCAGGAAGCCCACTGTGAGAATCACTGCTGCAGGATCATAATCAAGTGGTCCATTGCCTCAACCCTGGCCCTGGGAAGAACTAGCTGGCGAACTGGGGAGATTCACTTTTACTTTCTTTCTGTGGCACTATTCAGTCTTCTCTTCCATTTCCAGGGACATAAACTTCTTCTTGGGCCTGGGCTGCCCAGTGCTTCCCAAAAAAGTGCCTGCCCTGTTGTTTTAGGGGGAGCCTAAATTCCAGAAGAGAGACATCTGCCTGCATATTCACAGCATATTCACTGACTGAAGAGCCCTCCTTCATATACCTGTAGTTTAAAGGAGAAAGGCCAGTTTCTGACTCTAAGTAAATTGATATGCGGTAGGCTTCAAGGATTGAAAAGATGTGGAGCTAGGCTGGGCTGGAGAAGGATTTATTCTAGCTCTTCAAACAAGACCATACCTGAGCCTGTATACCCTGATCTGGTCCCAGGTGTAGTAGGAGGTTTAGGGGAGGCAAAGGGCAAAGTCATTTAGAGCATGACTCTGACATCAAGCAGACCTGGCACCAGATCCTAGCTGCACTGTTTACTAGCTGAACAAGATACTACTGTATGCTCTTTACACTTTCTAAGTGTCAGTTTGTTCATGCATAAGACAGGAATAAAAGAGACCTTCCTTAGGGTTTTCGTCAAGAATAAATGTGATTATGAACATCTAACCCTTGGCTTGACACATGGTAAACACATAGTACCACTGCCTGGTACTCTAAGGGGAAGCTTCAACATAAATCCCTATTCTACTAAGTCATGGTTCCTGGGTTGCATGCATTTATTCTTTGATTTAAAAGGTCAGTTCAGAAAAAGAGAATTATTTTGACAGTAGCTCTAGTTGCCTCCTAATTTGCTCCAGAGAGTTGCCAGTTCTCCATATCAAATGGACAATTATCTTCCACCGGAGCATGAAAGATGCTGCTTTTGTAGCGTGTGTGTGGAGCCCTGGATTACACTTGTCCCCAAACCTTCCTCAACTGCCTATGAAAACCTTGAAAAAGGCTGGGCACAGTGGCTCATGCCTGTAATCCCAGCACTTTGGGAGACCAAGGTAGGTAGATCACCTGAGGTTGGGAGTTCAAGACCAGCCTGGCCAACGTGGTGAAACCTGTCTTTACTAAAAATACAAAAATTAGCCAGGCATGGTGGTGGGCACCTGTAATCCCAGCTACTCAGGAGGCTGAGGCATGAGAATCGCTTAAACCTGGGAGGCGGAGGTTGCAGCGAGCCGAGATTTGGCCACGGCACTCCAGCCTGGGCGACAGAGCGAGACTCAAAAAAAAAAAAGACCTTGAACTAAGCAGACAATAAGCAGGGCTTTCCCCTTAACACTTAGTAGGGACCCTTTCTCTTTTTAATAAGCTTATACTCTTGCACCTGAGGAGAGAAAAGTTGTAAATCTAACGTTAGAACCAACACACCCATTGACTCAACCAGGCTGGGCAAGTCACTCCATCTTTCTGCTTCTCAGATTTTTCATAGAAAATTAAAAATAATACGTACTTTAAGGGCAATCAAGAAGAGAAATGCAGTAACACATGAAAACAAGTTTGTTTACAGTTTTGTTTTGTTTTTTTTTTTTGGCTAAAAGTAAAAGGTATTTTCCAAATCCAGTTTTGCACCTGTCTTCAAGAATAAAGGCAAATGCATCTTCTTCATTAACACGATTGCATTCAGGCTGCTGAGTAAGGTGCTGTGTGATGAGACATCTCTAATCACCACACCAATTTTAAAATCAGCTTCAAAAATGTAAATGTCTAATTTATCTAACTCTGAGCTCTAAATATTCATGAACAAAGCCTGGGCCTCACCTCCTCCACACGTCACAGTGCAGGGAAAGAAGTCAGTTTGTCTCCACTGATGACTGATGGGCTGGTAAAAGAAGAACTGAACCACGCTGTCTTTGGCTGCAGTGTACCTGGTCTGGACAAAGAGAACTGTGAGAACACACGTGCAAACAAGGAGCTAGTGCTTTCCACACCTTTCAAAATAAGATAAATGTTCTTCATGTATGTAGACAACCACCCATCCATTAGAAAAACTATGGGGCAAGAGTCCAATAAGTTTAAGATGTGATGACATTTCATTAAGATTTGTCATAAATGGGGGCTCAGGTGATCTTCTGCAAATCTCCCTGGAGTCATTTTTCCAGATAATTCCATGCCTGTGAATGGATTCACAAAAAATGTAGGTAGACTTTTTTGTTTGTTCGTTTCACACTGTCTTTCTTCCTGAAACATTGGATTTTAATTTTGACGACACAGATTGAGAATTGATTTGGGTTTGCTCACAATATAGCACATAGTGGAGACTCTTACATTTTTAATAATAATATATTTAAGCACATCCTTCTGAAAAATTCTTCTAGAAGCACAACTGCAAGAACTCAACTTAAGTGTACAAATATATGGTGTTTAAACAGTCTAGTATCTAATTAAAAGGAAATGGGGGCCAGGCACGGTGGCTCACACCTGTAATCTCGGCACTTTGGGAGGTCAAGGCAGGTAGATCACTTGAGGTCAGGAGTTCGAGACCAGCCTTGCCAACATGGTGAAACCCCATCTCTATTAAAAATACAAAAATTAGCCCAGCATGGTGCCACATGCTTGTAGTCCCAGCTACTCAGGAGGCTGAGGTGGGAGAATGTCTTGAACCACTGTCTCAAAAAAAAAAAAAAAAAAAAAAGGAAATAGGGCACCAATGAGGTAACATATATGTTAATTAGTTCCATCTAGCCATTCCACAATATACACATATTTCAAAATATCATGTTATACACTATAAATATGTACAATTTTTGTCAATTAAAAATGCTAAGAAAAGATTAATGTGGCCAGGCACAGTGGCTCACGCCTATAATCCCAGCACTTTAGGAGGCTGAGGTGGGTAGATCATCTGAGGTCAGGAGTTTGAGACCAGCCTGGCCAACATGGCAAACCTGGTCTCTACTAAAAAATACAAAAATTAGCTGGGTGTGGTGGCATGTGCCTGTAGTCCCAGCTACTCAGGAGGCTGAGGCAGGAGAATAGCTCGAACCCGGGAGGCGGAGGTTGCAGTGAGCTGAGATCGCACCATTGCACTCCAGCCGGGGCAACAAAAGTGAAACTCCATCTAAAAAAAAAAAAGTAAAAGAAAAAATTAATGTGTTAGAAAAACCAGGCCAGGCACAGTGGCTCACACCTGTAATCCTAGCACTTTGGGAGTTCAAGGCAGGAGGATCACTTGAGGCCAGAAGTTTGAAATCAGTCTGGTCAACATAGCAAGATCCTATCTCTCCAAAAGAAAAAGTTTAAAATTAGCCAGGTGTGGTGGCATGCACCTGTAGTCCCAGCTATAGCTACTGGGGATGCTGAGGCAGGAAGACACCTTGAGTCCAGGAGTTTGAGGCTACAGTGAGCCATGATCACGCCACTGCACTCCAGTCTGGGAAACAAAGCAAGACTCTGTCTCAAAAAAACATGAAAAAGAAAAATCTCTAAAAAATGCAATTGAAAAAAAAAAAAGAAATAAAATTGGGATAAAAAATTTTAACAATAAAAATAAATATGGTGGGCCAGGCGTGGTGGCTGATGCCTGTAATCCCAGCACTTTGGGAAGCTGAGGCAGGCAGGTCCCTTGAGGTCAGGAGCTCAAGACCAGCCTGGCCAACATGGTGAAACCCTGGCTCCACTAAAAATACAAAAATTAGCTGGGTGTGGTGGCACGTGCCTGTAATCCCAGCTACTCGGGAAGCTGAGGCAGGAGAATTGCTTGAACCCGGGAGGCAGAGGTTGCAATGAGCCGAGATCACACCATTGCACTCCAGCCTGGGCAACAGAGTGAGACTGCATCTCAAAAAATAAAATAAAATAAAATAAAATAAAATAAAATAAAATAAAATAGAAATAGTATTATAAAAGATATTTCATATGAGAAATGCTATATTTAGTGGAAGAAACAGCTTATCAAAATAATACAGTTTAATTTTTAAAGGGAATTTTAATAAGGAATATCAATAAATCTGCTATATTTCTTTAAAAAATAGAGATAATAGACAAATAGAATGATGAAGAGACAATATTTAATGATATAATTGCTTAGAATTTCCTAGATTTTAAGAAAGACAGAAGTCTCTGTTTCAAAATGCTCATTGAGTTCTAGACATTTTAAAAAATAAAACAAAAAGCATAAACAAAAATCCTAAAAGTTATCACATACAAAAATATGATTACCTAGAAAAATGTGAAAAATCAGATTAACATCACATTTCTCACAAGCAATATTGGATTCAAGAAAACAAAGTCAAGTCCTCAAAGTGGTGAGGGACAAGAATATTGGATCTAGAATTCTATAACCAAGTTATTAATCAGTAATCAGTTATCAGCTATTCACCTATAATCAGATGACCAATCATTAATCAATGAAATAAATATATTTTCCGACACAAAAAGATTGTGAAACTTTAACACTTAGAGATATTCACTGGAAAAAAAGAAAAAAAACTACTAAAGAATGTACCTAAGAACTAATATAAATACAGAAGTGGTGAGATGCAAGAAGCAATAATGATTAAATAAATCAGTAAAGCTTATGAGAGAATCTAAACAAGGACTGATTTTAAAATAGTGGTTTTATGTGCTTAATTACAAAATGACATAAAAATTCCAGACACAAGATGTGTGTGTAGGGGAGGAGAGGCAGGGTTATGGTAACGGAGTGGAGACAGCACAGGTATTACAGAGATAGGATACACTGCTAAGGAGCTTTGTTTCTGGCTGTGGCAGGACTGCTTGTTTCTGATGAATCTCCCCAATGAGAATAAATAAAAATGCTGCCTAAAATTTTCCTTTTTCTTTTTCTGTCTTTTTTCTTTCTTTCTTTCTTTTTTTGACACAGAGTCTCGCTCTGTCGCCCAGGCTGGAGTGCAGTGGCGCGATCTCGGCTCACTACAAGCTCTGCCTCCCGGGTTCACACCATTCTCCTGTCTCAGCCTCCCAAGTAGCTGAGACTACAGGTGCCCGCCACCATGCCTGGCTAATTTTTTGTATTTTTTTTAGTAGAGATAGGGTTCCACTATGTTAGCCAGGATGGTCTCGATCTCCTGATCTCATGATCCGCCCACCTCCGCTTCCCAAAGTGCTGGGATTACAGGCGTGAGCCATCGCGCCCGGCCTTTTTTTTTCTTTTTTTGAGAGGGAGTCTCGCTCTGTTACTCAGGCTGGAGAACAGTGGTGCGATCTCAGCTCACTGCAACCTTCGCCTCCCAGGTTCAAGGGATTCTCTTGCCTCAGCCTCCTGAGTAGCTGTGATTACAGGCGCACACTATCATGCCTAGCTAGTTTTTGTATTTTTAGTAGAGATGCAGTTTCTCCATGTCAGCTAGGCTGGTCTCAAACTCCTGACAGCAGGTGATCCACCTGCCTCAGCCTCCCAAAGTGCTGGGATGACAGGCATGAGCCAAAGCGCCTGGCCCATAAAATATTTTTAGTGTATTTTAGTGCATCAGAAAACTACCATGCCAGTGAGGATTTGCAGGACTAAGACCAAAGACACAAAAGAAACTCAGAAATGTGAGCAAATTTGGCATGACATTTGGCTCTACCTTTTTGCTCAAGGCATTTTCCAGTCTGCAAGTGGTGGCTGAGCAGCTGAGAAACTGGACAGATCTGTCATCAGCCTCACGTAGTGGAAAGCGAACACTAGAGCTCAAGGCCTTCCAAGGTGTCAGGTGTTGGTAAACACCCCAGGTTCCCAACCCAGGACCCTAGAAAGTTCTATCATAGGAATAAAGTAAACTGGAAACACGACAACCTTCAAAGGGAATAAAGCCCTGGTTCAAGTTATTTCAATTCTTTGTTGGATAAAGATCACTGGTTGCTAACCTAGCTGTCTTCTAGAAGCAAAAATAAGACAGCTAAAATAATCCAGTTGGAAGAGTGTTAGACTGAAGATCTAGAAGCAAAAATAATCCGATAATAATTTTTAAAGGGGATTTTAACAGAGTATCAATAAATCTGCAACAATCTCAAATTATATCCACAACCTTTCTTCCACAATATACAGCACAAACTTTAAAAATAACCAAGAATAGAAAAAACAAAATTTAATGACAACCCAAAAAAGTGAAAAAAAATAGATATTATAAACATAATGACAGGAAATCCAGATATTGGTATTAACTGATGAAAATATAAAAACTTAAGTACACCATTACCACCTCCTGCAACCCTGGCCTTGGCTTCAGTCTTGTTTCCCCGCAGGAGGGGCCTAGCAACACCTTATGCTATTCCTATGATTATAACATAAGTATTGGAACACTTTGCCTCGGGCTCTGTTTTTCAGAGAACTTGGAACAAGATTAAAATGTTCAAGAAATCAAATTATAAGATGGGGAATTTCACTGGAAACAAGCTATAACTAAAATGGAAATTCTAGGAATAAAAGATGCAATAATTTAAATCAATATCTCAATGGACAAACTTAAAAGTGGATTAAAATAGACTTTGGCAAGTATTTTATAAAGAGCCAGATAGTAAACATTTTAGGTTTTCAGGCTACATGGTTTCTGTTGCAACTATTCAATTCTGCTAGTATAGTGCAAAAGTAGCCATTGACAATGTGTAAACAGATAGGGGTGGCTGTTCTGATAAAACTTTATTTACAAAAACAGTGATGGCCTGCTGGTCGTAATCTGCTGATCCCTGAATCAGACACACCTGAGCAAAGGATCAGTAAAATGACAGATAAAAAGAAAGTGGAAATTAGACAAATTGGATACAGGTAAAGGTATAATTACATATAAATACATAACAAAGAGCTTGGGACAGAAGTTAATCTGAAGAGATAATAAATGAGAATCTGTCAAAACTGATGGTGGATCTCAAGCCACAGATTCATGAGACACCTGGACCTCAAGCTGAAGAAAGGCACTAATTACACCATAGCCCAGTTGATGAAAACCCAAAACAAAGGGAACACACTTAAAAGCAGATGAAGAAAAAGGACAAATTACTTTCTAAGGAACAAAAAGAAGACTGATAGCTGACTTCTTCACAGAATAAACTGAAGTCAGAAGACAATGGGGAGATATCCTCAAAGTGCTGAAAGAAACGTTTTATAATAACAGAAGGGTCAATTCACTAGGAAGATGCAATGATTCTAAATGTGAACATACTTACCAACCTAGCCTCAAAATACAGAAGGCACAATGCACAGTCACGGGGTAGTTTTAGCACATCTCTCATGATAGAATAAGCAGACAAAAATCAGGAAGGTTATAATTTTGAATAACACAATTACTAAACGTGACCTAATTGACATACATAGAACATTGTATCCAACAACAGAAGACTACACACCACATTCTCCCAAACTTTGTTATATTCTGAGCTACAAACCAAGTTTTACAAATTTTGAAATATTGAAATAATATGGAGTATGTTCTTTGACCACAGTAGAATTAAGCTATAAAAATAAATTTTAAAAAGATTACTGGAAAATTCCCTCATGGTTGGATGTTATACTTCTAAATAATCTACAAGTCAAAGAATATATAATTATGAAACTTACAAAGTAATTTAACTGAATGATGAAGGAAAACATTTCATATCAAAATTATTAAATTAAATATAAGGCATGCATTGAGAGAAATTTATAGACTTAAATGTACATGTTTTAGGGAGAAAAGATGAAAATTAATGATTTCATAATCCATCTCAAGAAGTTTAGGAAAAAAACAGCCTATGGGATCTAAAGAAGTAAGAGTGGACATAATAAAGATAGGGGCAGATATTAATGATATGGAAAGAAAACTAGAGTAAAACAGTCATGAACCCAAAAGTTGTTTCTGCGAAATGTCTAATAAAATTGATAACCCTCTGATGTGACTGAGCAAGGAGAAGAGTAGGCACAAATAGTCAATGACAGGAATGAGAAAGAGGACATACTACAGGTTGTTCAGAAAGTGAACAAATAATAAGAGAATGCTATGAAAAGTATGCCAATAGCTTTTTAAAAGTTAGTTGAAATAGACAAATTCATTGAAACAAAACGGACATAAGAAATAAGAAAATCTAAAGAATCTGTATCTTTCAAAGACATTAAATGCATAATTCTAAACATTTCCTGGTGCACACTGCCAAACATTTAAAGAAAAAAAAAGGCATCAAACGTTTGCAAACTATTGCAGAGAATAAGAGGAAACACTTCTAAACTTGTTTTATAAAAGCAGAATAAAATGTCAAGACCTGAAAAAGGCATTCCAAGAAAACAAACAAACAAGCAAACCCTTTCCTTCACATAGGTACCAAAACAACAACAAAAACCTTAAGTGAAATAATTTAAAATCACATCTAGTGATATATAAAAGGATACACCTTTTAACAAACAATAAAATAATTAATATTAACAATGAATTCTATTTTTTTTTTTTGAAATGGCGTCTCACTCTGTCACCCAGGCTGGAGTGCAGTGGCGCAATCTTGGCCCACTGCAACCTCTACCTTTCAGGTTGAAGCAATTCATCTGCCTCAGCCTCCCAAGTAGCTGGGACTACAGGCACATGCCACCACACCCGGCTAATTTTTTGTATTTTAGTAGAGACAGAGTTTCACCGTGTTAGCCAGGCTGGTCTCAATCTCCTGACCTCGTGATCCGCCTGCCTTGGCCTCCAAAAATGTTGGGATTACAGGGGTGAGCCACCACGCCCGGCAACTAACAATAAATTCTAATTGAAAAGAATAATGACTAAGTAGGTTTATCACAGGAAGATACAGTTGGTTTAACATTTGAAAAATCAATGTCATTTATTACATTAAAAAGGAAAAAGGAGAAAACCATGTGATCATCTCTAAAGATGCAGAAAATGCATCTGATAAAGCTCTATGCTTGTACATAATGAAGCAAACTAGAAAAAGAAAAAATTCTTTCACCAAATAAAATATCTATAAAAAATTTTATAGTAAACATCATATACAATGGTGAATTACAGGGAACTTTGCTCCTGAAGTGAGATGCAAAACAAGGACAGCTGCCATCTTCATTATTTGCAGATGTCACAATTGCGTACGTATACAATCCAAAAGAATTCACAAACTATTAGTATTAATACATGAATATAGTAAGAATATAATGTCAATACACAAAAATCAATATTTCCACACCCCAGAAACAAATAGAAACTGAAAAAAATACCATTTATAGTAACATCAAAATAACCAACACCTGAAAATAAATGTAATAAAAGATATTAATGACATAGAGTAAAAATTATGAACATTATTGAGAGAAATTTTAAAAGAACTAAAAAATGTATGGATATGGCATATTTATGACTTAAAAGACTTAGTATTGGAAAATGTCAATTTTCCTTAAATTGACATACAGATCCAATGCAATTCCAATCAAAATCCAGCAGATTTTTAAAAACAGACAAGCTGATTTCAATGATATAAAAATGCAGTGTCAAGAAAAGCAAAGATAATCTGCAAGAACAAAGCTGAAACTTACATTTCCAGATATCAAGACTTATTTTAATGCTACAGTAGATATCTCACAATGGTATTGGCACAAATAAACAAACAGATCAATGAAACAAAGTAGGGTCCATAAATACATTGTTATTACCAGACTTCAGAGAAATAGGCAATGGATCATTCTTCACCTAATGGCTCTAGGTCAATTAAACAGTCATATAGAAAAAATATTGATTCTATTATACCTCACAATATATACAAAATAATTTCTAGATGGATTATAGCCTTTGGTGTGAAAAGAAAAATATTAAGGCTTCCAAACACAAACATAGAAGAATATCTTAGGGGATGGGCATGTATTCCCAGGACTTTGGGAGACCAAGGTGGGAGAATCGCTTGAGCTCAGGAGTTTGAGACCAGCCTGGGCAACACAGCTGGATCCTGTTACTACAAAAAAAAAATTTTTTTTGTTTAATTTGGCTGGGCACAGTGGCTCACACCTGTAATCCCAGCAGTTTGGGCGGCTGATGTGGGTGGATCACTTGAGGTCAGGAGTTCAAGACCAGCCTGGCCAATAGGGTGAAACCCTGTCTCTACTAAAAATACAGAAAACTTGCTGGGTGTGGTGGCATACACCTATAATCCCAGTTACACAGGAGGCTGAGGCAGGAGAATAGCTTGAACCCATGAGGTGGAGGTTGCAGTGAGGTGAGATCGTGCCACTGCACTCCAGTCTGGGCGACAGAGAGAGACTCAAATAAATAAATGAATAAATAGCCAGGCATGGTGGTGTGCACATGTAGTCTCAACTACTTGGAAGGCTGAGGTGAGAGAATCACTTGAGCCCAGGAGGTCAAAGCTGCAGTGAGTCATGATTGTGCCACCGAACCCCAGCCTGGGCAACAGAGCAAGACTGCATCTCAAAACAAAACAAAACAAAACAAAAACCCACAAACAAACAACAACAAAAAGAAGAATTTCTTCATGATTCTGGATGAGGCAGATTTCTCAACCAGGATACAAACAGCACTAAGTATAAAGTTAAAGGCTGATAAACTACATTACAGTAAAATTGAGAACTTCTGTATAGGCAAACTGATAGCCCTAAATACATTTAATGGAGAAAAAAAATGAAAATAGAATGAATTAAGAATTCAGCTCTAGCAGCTGAAAATATAATACCAAAATAAACCCATACAAAGATAAAAGAAGTAAATAAAAATTTATATAAATAGAAATGTAAAAAAAACTCTGAGTTAACGAACAAAACAAAAATGTAGTTGTTAGATGTCTCAGAGACAATGTTTGGATGGTCTGAACAAAACAACAATTACGCAAGGAACCAATAAACGAGTTTAGGAATGAAAGAGACATTGTTATAGGTAAAGAGGAGATTGTTTTTAACAATAAGGGAATACCATGATTACATTTGAAGAGCTAAGTTTGAAAAATGGATGAATTGGATACTTCCGTAGAAAAATGTAAATTTCAAAATTGGCTAAAATAATAAGCCTAAGAGAAACATAAATGGTTTCTAAGTCTTTTCCATTACCACCGAAAAGAAAAATAAGAAAAGAAAAGAAAAAAAGAGAGAAAAGGCATTAAGCCAGATGTGTTACAGAAAGAGAAATCCTTAGTGTAGTAGACACATTTCATTGCCTACCAGCATCCATTTCTCCTTTCCAGTCTACAGACACTCAATTTTGTTCTTGTTCATTCCTTCCTCCTGTGTCTTACACATACATCCTGATTGTTCTTTTTTTTATTTATTTTATTTT
This sequence comes from Homo sapiens, assembly GCF_000001405.40. Lineage (NCBI taxonomy): Eukaryota > Metazoa > Chordata > Mammalia > Primates > Hominidae > Homo > Homo sapiens. The sequence goes on along the minus strand of NW_025791797.1, from coordinate 481,587 downwards.
ATTTTATTTTTTGAGATGAAGTCTCGCTCTGTCACCCGGCCAGAGTGCGGCTGTGCAATCTCGGCTCACTGCAACCTCCACTTCCCGGGTTCAAGTGATTCTCCTGCCTCAGCCTCCCAAGTAGCTGGGATTACAGGCGCGTGCCACCATGCCCAGCTAATTTTTGTATTTTTAGTAGAGATGGGGTTTCACCATGTTGGCCAGGATGGTCTTGATCTCCTGATCTCATGATCTGCCTGCCTCAGCCTCCCAAAGTGCTGGTATTACAGGCGTGAGCCACCGCACATCCTGATTGTTCTACGTGAATCACCATGGTCACATTTGCCTTGCTAGTGGCAGGACCCATGAGTGTTCTGCTCAGATACACAACTGCAAAGGGTGTCACTGGCCAACAGCCCCAGTTCTGGGTCAAGCTTCCCATGGGATGCTCCTAGCCAGTGACTAAGCACAGCAAGGGTACTGAAGGCAGAGCCATTCTTGGGAGACACTGGAGTCCTATGATGAATGACATTGGCTCAGGGTTTCCTCTCCAGCTTTGCTGAATTCTCCTAGAACCTACTGCATTTAATATGCTTGTATCCAACCTTCCTTCCTTCCCTCTCTCCTTCACTCATGGTCAGATTTTCAGTGCAAACTGACGGCTCTCTCAGCATCACCCTGCTTTCTCTCCCTCTTTTTTCTCACAGGCATTTCCTGAATAAATTTCTTTCACTTCTCATCCTGCCTTGGCATTTGATTCTTAGAGGACCCAGATGAACACAGTGGTGGATGGTATAGAGTGGGCACGTGACCCAATTCTTGTCGATGAGAGGTGGTAAAAGGTCTACTGTGGAGTTTCTGAGGTTTCCTCGCTGAGAAGGTCCACAAGAAAGACAAACGCCTACCGGGCTTCCGGAGATCACATCGTCTTGTTCACATGTGACACCTGGACCAGTGCCTTTTACTTTCAGTGCAGGGCAAATACACAGCAACTTACTCAAATCCATGCATGATATCCTCAGATGGGCCCTAATTGCTGCCAGTGAGCACACTATCTTTCCCCTAGTCCCTCGACACTGTCATTCTTGTCTTGCTGCACGTTCTCGGTGGTGTGGCTGGGACCCCTATCCAATCCTTGGCTGGCTTTAGAGCTCTGCATCTAGGGAGACCATCGGCTTTATTGTTCATGCCAGGATGGCTCTGAGAGTGAAAGGAGGAGCTACTAACAATTAAGCAGGGGTAACAGGCACAAACTGGGCCTTTTCTGAACAAAATAGGACCCATAGTCTCTCTACCTACACCTCTCCGCTAAAGGGTCATTTTGCCAGCACCATGTCACCCCCTGGCCAGTCAGGAGTACACTAAATTTTCTAGATGTCTTCCATTACCACTCAGGAACTGAAGGAGACTCCGGGGAGACTCAACCTGTGACTAAACATTTCATGGCACTAATTCCACTTTCACTCTCATGTGGCTTCTCTGGGTTGCTGCTGATGGAGGTGGGATCCCTATGAGGCGCTTTCCTCTGGGAGCTCTGCGTGGGATGGGAGCAAAAGCTCCTTTTCTGCTTTTGGCTTTCCCTGAAAGCCTCCCTGCCCTGGAGAGCAACCACCATCATGAATTTCATGGCTCGCTGCCCGCTTCCTTTGTCCTGGCGCCAGGAGAGGGAGAAGGCTTTCCACATCCTGGCTGGACATGCCCTGTGGTGCACATCCTCCTGAGGACACTAGACCGAGGTGCAGCCTTACTGGAGAAAGGAGCATCCTCTCCATGTTATAGAAGATGTGCTATGGGTTAGGACCCCGGGCTTGGCCCTGGAAATGTTATGGGGACTAAATCAATTTGGAAAATCTTCATCTCTCTCCACTAAGGGTGGCTGTCAAAACAAAAGACTAAGCTAAAAATAATAATAACCCTACTTTAATCATGAAAAGATGAGCATGAATGCTTTCTCTTGCACTCCTGCTAATCACTCACCTGCCATACCACTGCTGTCAAATCCGCAGGGCAAACAGCTCTGCTGACAAAGCAGATGGTGAAGTACAGAGAATGGCAAAAGAGAAATGCACATTAACATTTGCAAAAGTGTATTACCACTGTTTGATGAGGAAAATGAGTTTTATAATAAAAGTATGTGGCCAGCCATGGTGGCTCACACCTCTAATCCCAGCTCTTTAGGAGGCTGAGGCAGGAGCGTTGCTTGAGCCCAGGAGTTCAAGGCCAGCCTGGGTAACATAGTGAGACTCTGTCTCTACAAAAAAATTAATAATTAGGTGGCTGTGGGGTTGTGTGCCTGTAGTTCCAGGTAGTTGGGAGGCTGAGGCCAGAGGATTACTTGCAGCCTGTACTTGGCCTGGGTGACAGAGCAAGACCCTATCTCAAAAACAAACAAACAAAAAAAACCAATGGTATAAAAATGAATTCAAATTCAACTACTTGACTTGGCCACTTCAAAAGAATTCATTCTTCCATTTACTTTTTATTATTTATTTTTTTAATTACTATTTTTTTGAGATGGAGTCTTGCTCTGTTGCCCAGGCTGGAATGCAGTGGTGCGATCTTGGCTCACTGCAACCTCTGCCTCCTGGGTTGGAGTAATTCTCCTGCCTCAGCCCCCTGAGTGGCTGGGATTACAGGTGCGTGCCACCACGTCCGGCTATTTTTGTATTTTTAGTAGAGATGAGGTTTCATCATGTTGGACAGGCTGGTCTAGAACTCCTGACCTCAGGTGATCCACCCGCCTTGGCCTCCCTAAGTGCTGGGATTACAGGCATGAGCCACCACGCCCAGCCACATTCTTCCTTTTAAACATTATTTTAAGAATTAGATATTACAAAATGTTATCCCCTCTAAAATAGTCACTGTTGTTTTCAGTGTTTCCATTTTGAAATGTATCCTTCCAAATTATTTTTAAAAATATACATATACATATACGTGTGTGTACATACAAACTCATAGAAATATGCAGCTTATGTGTGTTTTTATAAATGGTGTCAATAAACAATATATTATTAAGATCTACTGATGCTGACACTGTAACCAAACAATATCTTGAAATACTAATCTTTGTGGGTACTTTCCTCGTTTCATCATTGTATTAATGTCTCCTATTCAGTCAAGGACCTCCAAGTTGACTTGAGAAGAATACAGATTCTCTGAGTAGTAATTAAAAGAGAACAAAAACTCTGTGTGTGTGTGTGTGTGTGTGTGTGTGTGGTGTATATTTTCTACTTGAGAATCACATAGGAAGGCCCTAAGGAGGGCAAGGAAAGCATAGAATTTATGTCATAACAATAGACCAGAGAGAGACTTTAAAAAAAAAGGTAATTATGGCTTCCCCAAAACCTTTCATAATATGACTGTCTAAGAAGACTATTGGATCAATGCTTTAAGGATATGACACAGAAGTCAGAAACATAAATGTCTGTGGAGGCTAGGCAGATGCTATAAATGCCCAGATCAGGATGAATGGCAACCAACCACTTACGCCTTTAGTGTTAGGGACACAATACACAGTGGTGTGGACCACGGCAGACCCGAGACTGGAAGGCAGCTGTTCCTCAGTTACAGTCACTTATTGCTATTGTAAAATGCAAGCTCTTCCCATTTTTACAGAGAAGCAGAAAGAAAAAAAAAACAAACCCTGATCTTTTGATGTAAAAATCTCTTGATTTTTAAGAGTTGATTATTCAAAATCCAAAGTTTCAGAAACAAAACAATACACTGTGCAGGCCAACGCTTGGCCAGTCCCACTGCAGGCTGAATTTGTATCTCAGGGATTGGGATGAGTCAGCAACTCTAATCTACCTCCGTGCATGTTCCTCTGCTGACACAACTGATGTCTCAGTGAAACATTCCGTGACAAATTAATATGTAGAACACAGACAGCTTTTTAAAGCTAAAGGGTTTTTTTCATACAGAAAAATATAACTGGTAATTGGGGCTATTTCCTAGCTTCCATTTACATTTTGGAATGGGTTTCTGAAACAGGATACGGCAAAACCACACACTGAACTATCTTTTTCATTTCTTAGGCATTTTCAAATTTATCAGAAGAGTTTCAAACTGTGTCACCTTGGAAATATATTGGCCACTATACTTCATGTCCTCTGAATGAGGGAAGATGCCCCAGCAGTATCCAGAGAGGGGACACAGGCTCATGGTTCCAGAGAAGAAGAGTTCTTCTGAAGGTATCTTGTGACAAGTATCTGTCATAGAACATCTGGGGAAGCAAATCCTGATCTTGAATCAGCCCACCGCAAGACTGCATGTTCTAAGGGCTGAAGGTCGAAGTAAAGACGCCTTAAGGATAACTATCTTAAAGGAGGCTAAGGAATGAGCCGCTGTTGTCTCTGCTCTCCTTTGCAAGAAGACATGCAGCGGCACAATACTGGTTTAGGATATGGTGCATTTAACCATCGGCCGTTTTCACCAAACTCTATCTAAAACTGAACACAGCTACTTGGGAGGTTGAGGCAGAAGGATCACTTGGGCCCAGGAATTCAAGGCTATGACTGCAGCTGTGAATAGCCACTGCAGCAGCCTGAGCAACACAGGGAGACCCTGTTTCTTAAACCAACAAACAAACTGAACAAAGCAACCAGAGATTATAAATACAGAATCAATCCTTCCCCCATAAAAGTGAAGTTTGTTTTTTAACTGTTAGGGTTAGGAGCAGAAATTTAAGAGTGCTGAACAATTTTTAAGAATGGACTGCCAAGATGGAAATATTGATGACACATGCTCTGTATAAAAAACAATGATTGATGACCTCTTGCTAAACAAACTCATTGTTTTAAAAATCAAGATGTTCTGGGATTCAGGTACATGAAGTTTATGAAGAGGATCATCCTACCTTGAAGATGAAATCAGCCATCAGAGGTCCTGGAATCTTAAAAGTTTGCCTCTCGGAGCCCCTCTGAAATTCCACTGTTGTGTTTTCTACGAGAAAGACGCCGGGGCTGTTAAAGCTGTGTTCTCCTTTGCTTCCTTGAAGTGTTTTTGATTCAATAACTAAAATTAAAATATATGATTCAAATAAGAAACAATCTTAAAGGTATTTTATTACAAAAGACATTTTAGCAAATACAATGTCAGTATATGATATCAAAACAATGTCAAAATAGCCACTCAGTTTACAAACATTCATTGATATTGGTGGAATAGATATATCAGATTTTTAATTGCCCGTAACAAAAGGAGCTAACAAGGGTGGCAGGCCCAAATAGTTCTACTCAAATATTTGGAGCCATTTCTAGCATAAGGGGAAAGAGAAAACTTTTCTTTCTTTATATGTTTTCATGATTTAGCTAATACTCAAAGTAAAGCTATGTTCACTCATTTTATTACTTGTTCAAAAGATCTTATGCCTACTCTTTTAGACAAAAATCACAGCAAATTTCAAATTTGCTTTTTATCAAACAAAACTTTTGATTTTGAAATAATTTCAGATTAACAGGAAGTTGCAAAAATAGTATAGAGAGGTCCTTTGTAACCTTCATTCCCTTTTGTCTAATGTTTACATGTTACAAAAGTATAGTTGAATATCAAAACCAGGAAATTGACACTGGTACAATATGTGCATATAGTTCAATGCCATTTTATCACCCACCACCACAATCAAAATACAGAACCACTCCATTGCCACAAAGACCTCCCTTGTGCATGAAACCCCTTTATGTGAATTTGCTTTCACATGAACAAAAGTGCTTTTAAGATTTCCTACAGAAAAAAAGTTTGCTTATCACAGTTTAAACAAAAAAACATTTGTACTTTATTTAAATTTCTGTCTTTCCTCCCTCTTTCTTTTCTTTCTTTTATTTTCTAAGTGTCACCACACTTAGTAGATCTGGTTTCATGTTGAGAGAGGCAACAAAAAATGTATATACAGCTAGGTTCTGGGGCACCTGCGTTTCTGGCCCCGTATTTTTCTCTAACTTTCTGCCTTGGGTTTTCATTGCCTCATACCTAAAATGAGGAGTCAGAGCAGACAATCTCTCAGGTCCAGCTCTATTCTAAAACCCACACTTGATTCAATGATATCATACCAGTCTTTAAAAATCTCAAACAAAGAACACAGAAGAACCAAAACTCCGTTGAGTGTCAAAAATGGAAAGCTGATAAAATGCAACAAAATCGTCCAGCATTAGGGAGCTTCCATCCATAGCCTGCTGGGCTTTGGTTGTTTTCATTTGCTGGATTTTTCTCTGTCACTGGAGCAGCTGCAGGAATTCAAGTGCCCTGGACAGACTGCATAACAGGCCTTAGGAGACATCCCTGATTATCCCTGACAGGCAGGCTGGGAACTTTTCTGGGAAAATTCAAAGGCTGGACATGAGCTACTTGATCTGGAGGAGTCATTAGTGGTCGAAGAATAATGCTGGCTACTTGCAGGCATACAAAACCCCAACCACTTTGGCCCTGATCTCCATGACCGCAATAGATTTTTGGAAAGTGTGAGATTAAATTCATTTCCTAGTTCCAATGAAGATATAAAACTGAGTGTTATAAAGTGAGTTGTCAGTAAAAATGAAATGGGGAACTAGAGATAGTAAATGGGCCCTACAATGGATGTCTCTAAAGTCCATGAGAAAAAAAAATGATAAGCAATAAGAGCATTAAGGCAATATTAAGATGCAAAGTTCAGTGGAACATAACACATCCTCACAGAAGGCATGCAAAATACAAGTTTCTAGACACTGATTTAGCCTGAAATGACTTGATTAAATTCAAGTAGCGTGCAATGGATTCCGCGGCTGTGTTGGAGTAGTAATTGCTTTACCATTGTGCTAACCTTCTGGACCACAGCGTTCCAAGTTGCAGATCGGGATGCAGAATTGGGGCAAGGGGTGTAAAAATCTGGGAAGGTGATCTGGGAGGAAGGGAGGACCAGTTGCTACGATATCCATTCCCTAAACCATAGGCCAGCATTTTTGTTAACTTGGTTTTGATACTTTGTTTTTAATACAGAATCTAGCCACTATTTTAATGGTGTCTAAGAGTCTCAGTGACATGGATATAAAAACACAAGTAGCAAAAACAATTTTCAAGTTCACATAAATTACCCAAACCACTCTGCTTCTCCACTAAATGGTACGCTTATTGTAAAATATTTTTAATTTGAGTATTTCAAAAGGCTTCCAGTTCTCTAAAGCACAAACACTGGTTGCCTATCTAGGAGGCAGAAAGCAGGTGTTTTGACCTCAATTGTGTAAATGGGTAAGCAGAGTCAAAGGTGGGTGAAGAAAGACTGGTGAAGTGATTTGGTGAAGGTGGAGTTTATGGATGCAAACAATTCTGATAATCTGGATTAACAAAGCCACTGTGCCCAATCCACAGCAAGGTGGAGGCCGATGCAGTTCTTTAAAAGTTGTCATTTTTATTGGTGGCAAACTTGCTTCTTTGTGCTGGTGCCTCTTAAAAATAAATGACAAAAAAAGGAGTTTGTGGTGTTTCAATCAACAATTCAGATGATGTATTGACTTATGGATACCTTTAAGTTTTTATTAATTTCCACCATTTCCCTATATTTACTGTAGCCCCATGTTGTTCACAATGTGTGATTCATAGCTAGTGAGAGCTGCATGCACAAGCCCTTCGGTTCTCAGAGGTTTCACTGACCCTCTGTGGTTTCCGCAGCAAGGTGGTTAGTGTGTAGGCGACCCCAGGAAGCCTATAAGCATCCCCACCAGAATTAAGGGAAGAGAGTGTGAGCCTTCTTTCCTGCTGCCCACGGCCCAACTTCTTTCTCCTCTCCAGACTTAATATTGAGGGGAGGGAGGGAAGTGTTGAGGAAGATATGATAGGTAGTCTCAAAAAGAGTAAAAATTAGAAATCAAGACTTTCTTGTATCCCAAAATCTTCACAACTCAGGTCTCTAGTGATGCCTTTAAATATTTTAATCCACTACTAGTTATTTGTAAAAGAAATTATGCCTAGAAAATGATGAATGCTTCTAATTGCTTCTAGTTGAAGGATCTGCACTGAGAAGTATCAGTTCAGGCTTCTTTCAAAAAAGGCAGGGTCATGGTAACCATCCCCAAGAGGTCTCCCTAAATTCTAAAGGCCATGAAAGTACTGTCAGGTAAATGTGGAATGAGTGTTTAGCATGGCTAACATAGTTATAAATACATCAAACTTATATGTACAGTAGAGCTGTATTTCTATAGCATATGCTAATTTCATTCATGTCAATTTCCTTTGACTGGTCATCAGGTACTGCATCCATGCTTATATTTATACATCTCTATATATGGTCCTCAGATAGGGCTTAAAGGGAAAATATTCTTCCAACTGAATTGGAGGTTTTTGGTTTATGACCTCTTGGCTTCTTAAGTTTACTGCTAGTTAAACACATTTAATGCTAAGGTTTTGCTACAATAAAATCTGTTTTGCAGGGATCTGCTTATTGCTTCCATTTTTGAAGGGATGCACTCCTGGAAAATTTGGGGCTGTGTGCTCCCCATAATGCTGTGGCCAGGCTTGGGACAGGACTGGAAATTCAGGATCTAAACAAACACCTCTAGGCAGTATGTAAGATGGATATTCTGTAATTAAAATTCACTTCACAGCAAAGAGACTGACATTGATGTTGCTGGGTATTTTCAGTTCTTAGTAATGCAGTCTTTTGGATAGTTATAGTTAATGTGGATATTAAAAGAATGATTTATTACTGCAAAATAAGCTTCATTTCAGAAATATCTCTTTTACAAATAAAAACTAAGAAAAAAGTTGCATAAATCCAGAAAATAAAACCACTTCTATATTTAGATATTCAGAAATGTTAACTAAGTCCTTAGTAAATGAAGCCAGTTCTATTCATCAGCAAAGAAGGATAACTTTCAGAAATACTTCTACTGCCAATTGTGAGATTGTTCAGAAAGGGAAATAGTCCAAGCAACAGATTTGTCACTCTTGGAGAAATGGGAACATTTCTGAGCCCTGTTCTTGGACGAGTGCCAGTCTTGAATATAAAGTTATGTTGAATATGCCAGAACATATACACATAAATGAATTTTTGCCTCAAAGTGTTCACCTTTACTTATTCTTTTTTTTTATTATACTTTAAGTTTTAGGATACACATACACAATGTGCAGGTTAGTTACATATGTATACATGTGCCATGTTGGTGCGCTGCACACATTAACTCGTCATTTAACATGAGGTATATCTCCTAATGCTATCCCTCCCCACTCCCCCCACCCCACAACAGGACCCGGTGTGTGATGTTCCCCTTCCTGTGTCCATGTGTTCTCATTGTTCAATTCCCACCTATGAGTGAGAACACACAGTGTTTGTTTTTTTGTCCTTGTGATAGTTTGCTGAGAATGATGGTTGCCAGCATCATCCATGTCCCTACAAAGGACATGAACTCATCCTTTTTTATGGCTGCATAGTATTCCATGGTGTATATGTGCCACATTTTCTTAATCCAGTCTATCATTGTTACACATTTGGGTTGGTTCCAAGTCTTTGCTTTTGTGAATAGTGCCACAATAAACATACATGTGCATGTGTCTTTATAGCAGCATGATTTATAATCCTTTGGGTATATACCCAGTAATGGGATTGCTGGGTTAAATGGTATTTCTAGTTCTAGATCCTTGAGGAATCACCACACTGTCTTCCACAATGGTTGAACTAGTTTACAGTTCCACCAACAGTGTAAAAGTGTTCCTATTTCTCCACATGCTCTCCAGCACCTGTTGTTTCCTGACTTTTTAATGATCACCATTCTAACTGGTGTGAGATGGTATCTCATCATGGTTTTGATTTCATTTCTCTGATGGCCAATGATGATGAGCATTTTTTCATGTGTCTTTTGGCTGCATAAATGTCTTCTTTTGAGAAGTGTCTGTTCATATCCTTCACCCACTTTTTGATGGGGCTGTTTTTTTCTTGTAAATTTGTTTGAGTTCATTGTAGATTCTGGATATTAGCCCTTTGTCAGATGAGTAGATTGCAAAAATTTTCTCCCATTCTGTAGGTTGCCTGTTCACTCTGATGGTAGTTGCTTTTGCTGTGCAGAAGCTCTTTAATTTAATTAGATCTCATTTGTCAATTTTGGCTTTTGTTGCCATTGCTTTTGGTGTTTTAGACATGAAGTCTTTGCCCATGCCTATGTCCTGAATGGTATTGCCTAGGTTTTCTTCTAGGGTTTTTATGGTTTTAGGTCAAACATTTAAGTCTTTAATCCATCTTGAATTAATTTTTGTATAAGGTGCAAGGAAGGGATCCAGTTTCAGCTTTCTACATATGGCTAGCCAGTTTTCCCAGCACCATTTCTTAAATAGGGAATTGTTTCCCCATTTCTTGTTTTTGTCGGGTTTGTCAAAGATCAGATGGTTGTAGATATGCGGCATTATTTCTGAGGGCTCTGTTCTGTCCCATTGGTCTATATCTCTGTTTTGGTACCAGTACCATGCTGTTTTGGTTACTGTAGCCTTGTAGTATAGCTTGAAGTCAGGTAGCGTGATGCCCCCAGCTTTGTTCTTTTGGGTTACGATTGACTTGGCAATGTGGGCTCTTTTTGGTTCCATATGAACTTTAAAGTAGTTTTTTCCAATTCTGTGAAGAAAGTCATTGGTAGCTTGATGGGGATGGCGTTGAATCTATAAATTACCTTGGGCAGTATGGCCATTTTCACGATACTGATTCTTCCTACCCACGAGCATGGAATGTTCTTCCACTTGTTTGTATCCTCTTTTATTTCATTGAGGAATGGTTTGTAGTTCTCCTTGAAGAGGTCCTTCATGTCCCTTGTAAGTTGGATTCCTAGGTATTTTATTCTCTTTGAAGCAATTCTGAATGGGAGTTCACTCATGATTTGGCTCTCCGTTTGTCTGTTATTGGTGTATAAGAATGCTTGTGATTTTTGCACATGATTTTGTATCCTGAGACTTTGCTGAAGTTGCCTATCAGCTTAAGGAGATTTTGGGCTGAGACGATGGGGTTTTCTAGATATACAATCATGTCATCTGCAAACAGGGACAATTTGACTTCCTCTTTTCTTAATTGAATACCCTTTATTTCTTTCTCCTGCGTGATTGCCCTGGCCAGAACTTCCAACACTATGTTGAATAGGAGTGGTGAGAGAGGGCATCTCTGTCTTGTGCCAGTTTTCAAAGGGAATGCTTCCAGTTTTTGCCCATTCAGTATGATATTGGCTGTGGGTTTGTCATAGATAGCTCTTATTATTTTGAGATACGTTCCATCAATACCTAATTTATTGAGAGTTTTTAGCATGAAGCGTTGTTGAATTTTGTCAAAGGCTTTTTCTGCATCTATTGAGATAATCATGTGGTTTTTGTCTTTGGTTCTATTTATATGCTGGATTACGTTTATTGATTTGCGTATGTTGAACCAGCCTTGCATCACAGGGATGAAGCCAACTTGATCATGGTGGATAAGCTTTTTGATGTGCTGCTGGATTTGGTTTGCCAGAATTTTATTGAGGATTTTTGCATTGATGTTCATCAGGGATATTGGTCTAAAATTCTCTTTTTTGGTTGTGTCTCTGCCAGGCTTTGGTATCAGGATGATGCTGGCCTCATAAAATGAGTTAGGGAGGATTCCCTCTTTTTCTATTGATTGGAATAGTTTCAGAAGGAATGGTACCAGCTCCTCCTTGTACTTCTGGTAGAATTCAGCTGTGAATCCATCTGGTCCTGGACTTTTTTTGGTTGGTAGGCTATTAATTATTGCCTCAATTTCAGAGCCTGTTATTGGTCTATTCAGAGATTCAACTTCTTCCTGGTTTAGTCTTGGGAGGGTGTATATATCAAGGAATTTATCCATTTCTTCTAGATTTTCTAGTTTATTTGCTTAGAGGTGTTTATAGTATTCTCTGATGGTAGTTTGTATTTCTGTGGGATCGGTGGTGATATCCCCTTTATCATTTTTTATTGCATCTATTTGATGCTTCTCTCTTTTCTTTATTAATCTTGCTAGCAGTCTATCAATTTTGTTGATCTTTTCAAAAAACCAGCTCCTGGATTCATTGATTTTTTTGAAGGGTTTTTTGTGTTTCTATTTCCTTCAGTTCTGCTCTGATCTTAGTTATTTCTTGCCTTCTGCTAGCTTTTGAATGTGTTTGCTCTTGCTTCTCTAGTTCTTTTAATTGTGATGTGAGGGTGTCAATTTTAGATCTTTCCTGCTTTCTCTTGTGGGCATTTAGTGCTATAAATTTCCCTCTACATACTGCTTTGAATGTGTCCCAGAGATTCTGGTATGTTGTGTCTTTGTTCTCATTGGTTTCAAAGAACATCTTTATTTCTGCCTTCATTTCGTTATGTACCCAGTAGTCATTCAGGAGCAGGTTGTTCAGTTTCCATATAGTTAGCAGTTTTGAGTGAGTTTCTTAATCCTGAGTTCTAGTTTGATTGCACTGTGGTCTGAGAGACAGTTTGTTATAATTTCTGTTCTTTTACATTTGCTGAGGAGTGCTTCACTTCCAACTATGTGGTCAGTTTTGGGTGTGGTGTGGTGCTGAAAAGAATGTATATTCTGTTGATTTGGGGTGGAGAGTTCGGTAGATGTCTATTAGGTCTGCTTGGTGCAGAGCTGAGTTCAATTCCTGGATATCCTTGTTAACTTTCTGTCTCATTGATCTGTCTAATGTTGACAGTGGGTTGTTAAAGTCTCCCATTATTATTGTATGGGAGTCTAAGTCTCTTTGTAGGTCTCTAAGGACTTGCTTTATGAATCTGGGTGTTCCTGTATTGGGTGCATATATATTTAGGATAGTTAGCTCTTCTTGTTGAATTGAACCCTTTACCACTATGTAATGGCCTTCTTTGTCTCTTTTGATCTTTGTTGGTTTAAAGTCTGTTTTATCAGAGACTAGGATTGCAACCCCTGCCTTTTTTTGTTCTCCATTTGCTTGGTAGGTCTTCCTCCATCCCTTTATTTTGAGCCTATGTGTGTCTCTGCACGTGAGATGGGTTTCCTGAATACAGCACACTGATAGGTCTTGACTCTTTATCCAATTTGCCAGTCTGTGTCTTTTAAGTGGGGTATTTAGCCCATTTACATTTAAGGTTAATATTGTTATGTGTGAATTTGATCCTGTCATTATGATGTTAGCTGGTTATTTTGCCCATTAGTTGATGCAGTTTCTTCCTAGCATCAATGGTATTTACAATTTGGCATGTTTTTGCAGTGGCTGGTACCAGTTGTTCCTTTGCATGTTGAGCTCTTCCTTCAGGAGCTCTTTTAGGGCAGGCCTGGTGGTGACAAAATCTCTCAGCATTTGCTTATCTGTAAAGGATTTTATTTCTCCTTCACTTATGAAGCTTAGTTTGGCTGGATATGAAATTCTAGGTTGAAAATTCTTTTCTTTAAGAATTTTGAATATTGGCCCCCACTCTCTTCTGGCTTGTAGAGTTTCTGCCAAGAGATCTGCTGTTAGCCTGATGGGCTTCCCTTTGTGGGTAACCCGACCTTTCTCTCTGGCTGCCCTTAACAATTTTTCCTTCATTTCAACTTTGGTGAATCTGACAATTATGTGTGTTGCAGTTGCTCTTCTCGAGGAGTATCTTTGTGGCATTCTCTGTATTTCCTGAATTTGAATGTTGGCCTGCCTTGCTAGATTGGGGAAGTTCACCTGGATAATACCCTGCAGAGTGTTTTCCAACTTGGTTCCATTCTCCCCGTCACTTTCAGGTACACCAATCAGACGTAGATTTGGTCTTTTCACATAGTCCCATATTTCTTGGATGCTTTGTCCATTTCTTTTTATTCTTTTTTTCTCTAAACTTCTCTTTTCGCTTCATTTCATTCATTTGATCTTCCATCACGGACACCCTTTCTTCCAGTTGATCGAATTGGCTACTGAGGCTTGTGCATTCGTCACGTTCTCGTGCCTTGGTTTTCAGCTCCATCAGGTTCTTTAAGGACTTCTCTGCATTGGTTATTCTAGTTAGCCATTCGTCTAATTTGTTTTCAAGGTTTTTAACTTCTTTGCCATGGGTTCGGACTTCCTCCTTTAGCTCGGAGTAGTTTGATTGTCTGAAGCCTTCTTCTCTCAACTCGTCAAAGTCATTCTCCATCCAGCTTTGTTCCGTTGCTGGTGAGGAGCTGTGTTCCTTTGGAGGAGGAGAGGTGCTCTGATTTTTAGAGTTTCCAGTTTTTCTCCTGTTTTTTCCCCATCTTTGTGGTTTTATCTACCTTTGGTCTTTGATGATGGTGACGTACAGATGGGGTTTTGGTGTGGATGTCCTTTCTGTTTGTTAGTTTTCCTTCTACAAGTCAGGACGCTCAGCTGCAGGTCTGTTGGAGTTTGCTGGAGGTCCACTCCAGACCCTGTTTGCCTGGGTATCAGCAGCGGAGGCTGCAGAACAGAGGATATTGGTGAACAGCAAATGTTGCTGCCTGATCGTTCCTCTGGAAGTTTTGTCTCAGATGAGTACCTGGCCGTGTGAGCTGTCAGTCTGCCCCTACTAGGGGGTGACTCCGGGGTCAGGGACCCACTTGAGGAGGCAGTCTGTCCATTCTCAGATCTCAAGCTGCGTGCTGGGAGAACCACTACTCTCTTCAAAGCTGTCAGACAGGGACATTTAAGTCTGCAGAGGATTCTGCTGCCTTTTGTTTGGCTGTGCCCTGCCCCCAGAAGTGGAGTCTACAGAGGCAGGCAGGCACCCCTAGGTGGAGTAGGTGGAGTCTACAGAGGCAAGCCTCAGCAATGGTGGGTGCCCCTCCCCCAGCCTCGCTGCCACCTTGCAGTTTGATCTCAGACTGCTGTGCTAGCAATGAGCAAGGCTCCGTGGGCATAGGACCCTCTGAGCCAGACGTGGGATATAATCTCCTGGTGTGCCATTTGCTAAGACCATTGGAAAAGCACAGTATTAGGGTGGGAGTGACCCGATTTTCCAGGTGCCGTCTGTCACCCCTTTCTTTGACTAGGAAAGGGAATTCCCTGACCCATTGCGCTTCCCGGGTGACGCGATGCCTTGCCCTGCTTTGGCTCAGGCTCAGTGTGCTGCACCTACTGTCCTGCACCCACTCTCCGACACTCCCCAGAGAGAGGAACCCGGTACCTCAGTTGGAAATGCAGAAATCACCCGTCTTCTACGTCACTCATGCTGGGAGCTGTAGACTGGAGCTATTCCTATTCGGCCATCTTGGCTCCACCTCCCTCACCTTTACTTATTCTATTTATTGCTTACTTATTCTGTTTTTACAATTTATAAAACTAGTTTTGGAGCTGAATTTTGGGGAATGGCCTTTAATATCATGAGAATATCAAGACCATCCATTGCATTTTTTTGTTTTTTAAGCATCTTTTCCATATATACTTTGCATGCCATAAACTTTGCCCTTTTAAAATGCATAATTTAATGGTTTCAGTGTATTCCCAGAGTGAAATCATCACAATAATCTATTTATTATTTGAAAATCACAGTATTCTGGGAAAACAGTGTCAGCCTTCAGGGACCCCTACATGGGAAGCTGTGATGTGCTAGCAGCAAGGCTTGTTCTGATCGGCCATATTCACTGATAAGGTTTTGTATTTTAAATTTTGTTTTGTTTTGTCCCACTTTGCTAAAATCTCCAGAACATTCCCAAATCTTACTTTACTCTCCATATACTATTATTATTTTAGAGACATGGTCTTCCTGTGTCACTCAGGCTGGAGTGGCAGATTGCAGTGGTGCAATCAGAGCTCACTGCAACCTTGAACTCCTAGGCGCAAGGAGTAGCATGGACTACATGCCTGTAGTAGCCAAGCTACTCCCTGGACTACCTCAACCTCTTGAGTAGCTTGGACTACAGGCGTGCGCCACTATGCCTAGCTAATTTTTTTTTTTAATTTTTCGTAGAGATGGGGTCTTCCTGTGCTGCCCAGGCTTGTCTCAAACTCCTAGACTCAAGTGATCCTCCTGCCACAGCCTCTCAAAGAGCTGGCATTACAGGCGTGAACCACCACACCCAGCCATCCTATACAAAAATAGTTTATTTGACATAAAATTTGGTTTTTATTCTCCCATGAGGGGATTAATCTTAAACAGGCAAATTTCCCATTGGGGTATGAGAACAGAAAAATTCAGGGTACAATACAGATAATTTCCCTGGTTATATAGACTATTTTGCCCACTACAGAATAGTTGGGGGTACCCAACAGGGTACCACCACCCCCATGAATGGAAATAAGGGAAAATCTTGAATTCCTTCAAGAGAAATTCCAGGCATCTAGCTAGCCTTGAGAAGTAATGAGCAACTTCACAGGCAACAAGGTAATAGTGGATTAAAACAATAGCCAGAAAAAGTTAGAGTCACAGGATGTATGGTTCCCTATAGAAACTGAAGATAACATTTTAACATATGTCCCTGGGTAGTTTTTCAGGAAATCTAGATCCCTACCAAATGGATCCACCGGCACAGAGACCTCCGGTAAGAGGGAACTGAGGCTGAACTCTGACTGCCTTTCTTTGTCCTACATTTCTTCCTGAGGCACCTGGAGGAGATCACGCCCAAGGGCCAGATCTAACATTCTTTTCTGCTGACTCCAAGTCTTTAGGCAAAACTTCCCTCTCTTAACCAATTGCAAATCAGAAAATATTTGAATCTACCTATGGTCTGTAAGCCCCCACTTCAAGATATTCCACCTTTTCAGGTCAAACCAGTGCGTAGCCTCCAGTATTAATTTGTGACTTTGCCTGTAACTTCTATCTCCCTGTCTTTAAAAATCCTTACATGTAACACATCTGGGAGTTCAGGTCTTAAGCATGAGCTGTTTGATTCTCCTTGCTTGGTGCTCTGCAATAAATGCCTCACTGTCTCTGGCTGCAAATCCTAATGTCAGTGTTTAGCTTTGCTGTGCCAAGTAAGTGGACGCAAGTTCAGTAACATTACCCATTAACTTAGAGAAAGTTTTTTTGCTTGTTGGTTTGGTTTGTGGGTTTTTTGTTTTTTGTTTTTTTTGGCTAACTAAACTTTCAGGATATTAAAAAATGTTAAGATTAAATTCTACTTACAGAGGTGGGCAGGTCCTTTCACTGTAATTCTCACACTTCGACTTCCCAAAGGAACAGCAATTACATTTTCTTCTCCTGGGAAAGAACAGAACGCAACTGCAATAAAACCAGTACACTAAAGGCCCATGAAAATGAGCAAGTCAATCAAAACTGGGGGCGTCTGCAAAATATTCTTAACTATATTTCATTTCTGTAATCCTAGCACTTCAGGAGGCCAAGGCAGGCAGATCACTTGAGGTCAGGAGTTCGAGACCAGCCTGGCCAAGATGGTGAAACCCCATCTCTACTAAAAATACAAAAATTAACCAGGTGTGATGGCGTGTGCCTGTAGTCCCAGCTACCCGGGAGGCTGAGGCAGGAGAATTGCTGGAACCCAGGAGATGGAGTCTGCAGTGAGCTGAGAACGTGCCACTGGACTCCAGCCTGGGCAACAGAGTAAGACTCTATCTCAAGAAAAAAATAAATAAATCTTTGGAAATCACAAACTATGTGTAAAGCAGATGAATATTACATAATTTCATTTAAATACACCCTTAAATAACATTAAAGAAACGTTTAAAGTAAATGCACTGCCTACCTCAATTACCTTTACTCTCATGGCCCAATCCATGTGCTTTGATGAGGGTCTGCAAACTGTGGCCCCTGGGCCAAATCTAGCCACATCTCTTCATTCATTTAAGGCTGTTTATGCTCTTCAAGGTAGAATTGAGTTGTAGTAATGAAGACCATATGGCTCAATAAGGCTAAAATATTTACTTTACTATCTGACTTTTCACAGAAAAATTTCATGATCCTTGGCCTAGACAATTACCTACTGGAAATCCTGGTCCTCAGAGATGTTTTTTCACACTGCTACATACACTGATAATTTAATTTCTGTGTTCACATAATAATCTAAGCTCATATATGATATTTTATCTCACTAGTCCCCTCTCTGAAGATTGTCTGTTTCTAAATGAAACTAGAACATTATCAATGATACGAATTACTTCAAGCAGATGTTTTTGTCTAACTTACGCAAAACAATTTTTTTTGGATAAACTCTCCAGAGTGAAATTAGTGAAGCAAAGGATATCAATATATTGATTGACTAGTTTGCAAGTTTTTATTAAATAGAAATACCTGTTTATTATTAAAAATTAGAAAATGTAGATAAACAAAAATACAAAATAAATCTTTTTCTAACCCTATTGCCCAGAGATAATCACTTCTAACACTTTGATGAATGTCCATTCCAGATTTTTTGTTTGTTTAACATGTATACATGTAAAAGGAAAGACTGAACCGTACCTAAATGTCCATCAATATGGGAAAGATTACATAAACAAGAACATCCATACTCAGGAATACTCTACAACTGATAAAAGTAATGATAAGAAGCTATATGACCTAACGTGGAAAGCCTGCCAATATACACATTGAAGACTTTAAAAAAGGAAGGTTAAAAAATAGGGCAGTGGTATCTTGGATATGACACTAAAAGCACAGGAAACACATGAAAAAAAACTAAATTTGACCAAATCAAAATCAAACCTTTGTGCACAAAAGGACACTATGAACAGAATGAAGAGGCAACCCACGGAATGGGGGAAAACATTTGCAAATCACATCTTGGAAAGGGGTTATTATCTAGCATATATAAAGAATACTTGTAACTCAACAACAACAAAAAACAACCTATTCAATAAAAAGGACAAAAGGACTTGGATTTCTCCAAAACAGCTATACAAATGGCCAATAAGCACATGAAAATGCTCAGTATCAATAATTATTAGGGAATTGAAAATCAAAACCACAATCAGGTACCACTTCACACCTATTAGGATGAGAATTACACACAAAAAAAATAACAAAACAAGCAGAAAATAACAAGTATTGGTGAGGATGTGGCGAAAAGAACCCTTGTGAACTGGTGGTGAAAATGTTAAATGGTACAACTACCATGGAAAATAGTATGGCAAGTCCTCAAGATATTAAACATAGAATTACCATATGATCCAGCAATTCCACCTCTAGGAATATACCCAAAAGAATTGAAAGCAGGGACACAAACAGACATTGGTACATTGATGATCATGGCAGCATTATTCCCAATAGACGAAAGGAAGAAACAACCTAAGTATCTGTCTATGGATGAATGGATAAGGCTGTTTTTGCTCTACAAAGGCAGAATTGAGTCATGGTAGTGAAGATCATACAGCTCAATAAACCTAAAATATTTACTGTGCTATCTGGGCTTTCACAGAAAAAATTCGTGATCCTTGGCCTAGACAATTACCTACTGGAAATCATGGTTCTCACAGATGTTTTTTGGTATATACCTACAATGGATTCTTATTTAGCTTTTTTTAAAAAAAAGGAGGGGGCCAGGCATGGTGGCTCCCATCTATAGTCTTAGCAGTTTGGGAGGCCAAGGCAAGAGGATGGCTTGAGCCCAGGAGTTCGAGACCAGTCGGGGCAACATAGGGAAACCTGGTCACTACCAAAAAATTTTATAATTTTTTTTTAATGTGGGTATGGTGGTGTGTGCCTGTAATCCCAGCTACTTGGGAGTCTGGGGTGGGAGGATCACTTGAGCCCAGGAGGTTGAGGCTGCAGTGAACTATGATCAACCCATTGCACTCCAGCCTGGGTAACACAGTGAGAGCTTGTCTCAGGGGGAAAAAAAAAAAAAAGGAAAGGAAAGGAAATGATGCATACTACAGCATCAGTCATTTTAAGGAGGCTAGCAAACAGCTCATCGTTTTTGAAAACTGGTAAGTAAAGAAAAGATTAATGCATTCATCATGCTTTGTTGTTTTTCTTTTGTTTTGTTTTGTTTTTGTTTTTTGAGACAGGGTCTCACTCTGTCACCCAGGCTGGAGTGCAGTGGCCTGATCTAGGCTCACTGCAGCCTCTACCTCCTGGGCTCAAGCAATCCTCCCAACTCAGCCTCCTGAGTAGCTGGGGCCACAGTTGCATGCCAGCATGCCTGGCTAATTTTTGAATTTTTTGTAGAGACTAATTTGAACAAACAAGCAAAAGTGATAAAGACTTCTGAAAAATCCTCTCCTCCATAAAATCAGTAAAAACATGGTCAGAACCAACATTTTTAAAACTCTGGAAATTAACCAAAGGCTTGCAACAATCTGAGCAGTAATTATCAAAGAAAAATGCTCAGTAAGAACAGTGAGCTTTGTGGCATGCTAAGCTGCCTATTTCCATCTCTCCCCATTCTCCACCTCCATGGTAACCTTGAAAACAACAGCCCGTAATCATAGTGCAAACCAGCAGCCTGGCAGACTTTGCAGGGGTAGAATGGGTTTGGAGCTCCTTCAATGCCCAATTCCCAATTATTATTTGACCTGTGTAGTGGTTCCCTGGAAGACTTCACTCACAAAGCTGTCTTTGGTTTATCTAACTGGGAGTTTGCCCAGTGTAAACAGCTTTTCCCCAGGAGGCATTTGTCCAAAACAATCAGAGATACTTATATAACATTGAGGCTGCATGAGGTGGTGGATAACAATTGGGGAAAACAATAAGCTAACCAAAAAGCTGGGAATGAGATGTCCACAGGTGGTTTTGAAAAACTCCAACATATTCCTGAAAATCTAGAAGACCGCATGTCTATGTGGGGCTCTGCGTATGCCAGAGCTTTGTGCATGCCCAGAAACAACCTGAGAAGGTCCTAAGCTGTCATCTATGGCTAACCTACAGACTCTAAGGAAGCAGGAAGTAAAGGCCAGAACAAAGTTGTCAATTACCTTGGCTGAGTGTTGAAGGTGTAACCCAACATAGACACATATGCACACACACACAGACACACACACACACAAAGTCCACTAAAAATAACCAACTCTCCATGAAAAACCAGGTAATGCCAGGTCTGGAGTAGGGAAAATTCAAGGTGGGCTTGGAACACCTGTTGCTCTAGAAACCAAGGCAATGTCTAAAATTCAATGGAATTATGACAAAAGAAGACAGTTTAAAGTGCTCCCACTGGCTACATTTTGGACAATTTGAAACCCAAAAAGAATATTGTCAGTAACATATAAAACATTAAATAAATAAAAATCTCTGAATACAGAGTGAGAAATTAAGAAACAGAAACCTTTTTTTAAAAACAGAAGAATGAGTGAAGAAGGAATGATAGAATTAGAAAATAACCGTTTGCAACTCTCTGTGTTAAATACTGTTTCAGGCAAGGATCATCAATGTACACTAAAGCCATTGTGTGAAAGACTGTTGCAAGCCAGAATATTTACACGTTGTCAAGGCATCACTCTGCAGATTTCTTACAGGGAAACATGGATCTATACAACACAGTATGTGTAGTTCACCACCTGTGTGAGTAATACTGGATCAAGCTGACATCATCAACTTCCTGATATGATGCAACATAAATCACGCATCACTTTTGATGTGCTGCTGCCACAAATGTTCAATCCAATTCTAATTAAACCTAAGACCTTGCTGATCAATTCACAGGAATTACGTGAGGGAGATCAACAAATTAATCAAATTAACAAATTTTGTCTGGATTAGACAAATCCAGAATATGGGACATGCTAAAATACAACTGGAATGAACTCTTTACAAAGTCGATACCATGAAAAAATAAGTGCACTAAAAAAAAAGAAACTAAAGAGATAGAAAAACTAAATGCAATGAGTGAGCCTTGACCAGTTCAAGGGGAAAAACAACTATAAAAGGAGAAATTTTAACATAGATTGGATATTAGATAATATTTAGAAATTATAATTTTTTAGGTGTACTAGTGAGATGATGTTATGAAGAAGATCCTTATTTTTAGAAGAGTCATGCTAAAGTATTAATACTTAGAAGTAAGTGTTGTGATGTCTGTAAATTAACAAGGGTCAGCTAGCTAGTTGGATGGAGGAATTAGATAGATAGATAGATAGATAGATAGATAGATAGATAGATAGATAGATAGAGATAGAGTGATAGGGATAATGAACCAATGTAGCAAAATATAAGTAATTAGTGAATCTAGTTGAAAAAATGTACAGTAGTGAATTGTGTTATTTTATCAACTTTTATGTATGCTTGAAAATTTTACACAGTACAATTTTGGAGATAAAACTACATTCCAATGTCATTAACATCTATTTGATACCAAATTCCTAAGTAAAATATTTGAAAAGAAAATTTAATCATAAATTTGAATTATGCACTATATACAAATGAAGTTTACCCAACAAATGCTAGTGTTGCTCAAATTTAGGAAACCTACTAATGTAATTTACTATATTAATAGACAAAGTAGAAAAGTTTGATTACCTCAAATAAGTTTCCAGCATTTAGTAAAATTCAGTCATTATTCCTGATAAAAATTCTGTATATAAAATAAAGTAAATGTTTGTAACACCATTTATAAATGCAAGTCATGATTAATATGCTTAATGCTTAAACATTAGAAACACTGCTGTTTAATTGGGGAAATGATGGGATACCAGTCAGCACCGTATGACTGAAGAGTTTTTAAAAGATTAGCCAAGGTAATTAGGCAAGAAAAAAATAGTCTAAACATTGGAAATCAAGAAGAAATTAATATTAAAAAATTATTAGATTTTAGAAATACCAAGAATAATCATTTAGAAAAATAATGGAAGAAAATGCCCCATTTGCAATGGCTAGAGAAAAGATAGAATATGTTGGAATGAACTTTTAAAAAATGGGCACAACCGGCTGCGCATGGTGGCTCATGCCTGTAATCCTAGCACTTTGGGAAGCTAAGGCGGGAGGATCACCTGAGGTCAGGAGTTCAAGACCAGCCTGGCCAACATGGCGAAACCCCATTTCTACTAAAAAACACAAAATTTAGCTGGGCGTGGTGGGTGCCTGTAATCCCAGCTACTCAGGAGGCTGAGGCTGGAGAATCACTTGAACCCAGGAGGCAGAGGTTGCAGTGAGCCAAGATCACGCCACTGCATTCCAGCCTGGGCGACAGAGTGAGACTCCATTTCCAGCCCCCCAAAAATGGACACAACCTACAAAAACAACATTTAAATCTCTCTCTCTCAAGATATAAAAAAATGCCTTGAGAAAATCGAAGGAAAATATTAATCATTTGAAATAAAAATTAAGCAAAATTAAATGTCAAAGAAGGAAAAATTATAATTATAGGCAAAGACTGTTTTCTTAATATCCAGAGTGTTTACAAATCAGTAAGAAAAAAACACAAATTAGCAGGAGAATTGATCAGACACTTGAAAAACTAGTTCACAGAAAAATCAAAATGTCAAGAAGATTATGAAGAGAGAAGAGAAATTACAGTATCTTTGAGAACTAAAAGCACATAAAGACATGCTTGCACAAAAGTACAAAGTTGTTGTAACACTGAGAGAAAATCTAAATGCTCATTGATATGAGTCTGGTTAAATAAATTATGTAATGTCCTTTTATATCACCAGTTAAAAAACAAGCCAACTGGGTGCAGTGGCTCACGCCTGTAATCCCAGCACTTTAAGAGGCTGAGGCGGGTGGATCACTTGAGGTCAGGAGTTCAAGACCAGCCTGGCCAACATGGTGAAACCCTGTCTCTACTAAAAAATACAAAAATTATCCAGGCATGGTGGCTGGCACCTACAATCCCAGCTACTCAGGAGGTTGAGGCATGAGAATTGCTTGAACCCAGGAGGCGGGGGTCATAGTGAGCCGAGACCATACCACTGAACACCAGCCTGGGCGACAGAGCAAGACTCCATCTCAAAAACAAAAAAAACAAGCCAAATTATGAGAACTGATAGGCAAAAAAACCTCAGTGAATAAAAAGAAATTGTAAAAAAGTTTATACCTAATGATCAATTCTGTATACTTCTCAAAAGCATACATGTTTGTATGGAAAGGTGCACACATACACATCCATAGGAAATATCTTAATAGAAGCAACCATTCATCCTGTTTAGACCTCTAAAAAGTGGAACTGGTTAGGAGTTTGTGGATGGTAGAGGGTGACATTTACTTTCCATTTTATATCCTTCTGTGCCATTTGAAGTTTTTGTAAGTTTAAAAAACTTTTTAAGTTTTATAAAAAGTATGTATTAATTTTACAATATAAATTATCAATATATGTTATGCATCCTCAACCACTTCACCTCATCCCCGGAAGGATACACACTAATATGATAACACATGTAATCTCTTGGCAGTGTGATTGAATACATGACATGTTTGTCAATTTCCTTGCCTGGATATTCTGGATTTTTTTTACAACACATATACAGCATATTATATATGTAATAAAAATTGTTTTGAAAATACATATAAATTAGAAAGCTTTACTGAACTGAAGAAAACCTATTTGGGCATATTGGTTGGGCTCTCTTGCAAAATCTTTGTGAATGTAGGCTGTGGTATCTTGGGGAAGCATTTGTCTAGGGGTGTGTGTGCATATATGTGTATATTCCAACCATTGTCCCATTGATAATTACACACTTTAATGAAACCCTGCAAATCAAATCCCTTGCAGTTGATTTTAGCCAAAAAGCCTCAAACTTGAGGAAAATGTTCTTCTGGGTGGAGCTGCCTACTATATAACTCTTGGAGAGAAAGCACACTGCCGAGCACCCAGGCAAAGCTAAGAACAAGGAGCAGCCTATAAGGATCATCTCCTAAACTGGAATTCCCTTTCATTTCTGTAACCCTCCACTAAAGTTTCATACATTTGTAGAAGTCTCTGTGATACGCTGATAAGGCAGTACTTCCCAAACATTTTACCTAAATATGAATCATCTAGAAAACTTGTTAAAACACAGACACCTGCTCCACCCATAGAAATTCAGATCCAGCAGTTTAGGGTGGAGCCCAAGAATGTGCCCGACCAGCAGCAGCCTCCCAGGTGATGCTGATACTGCTAGACTGTGAGCCACATTTTGAGCAGCACGGGCGCAGGATATAGAGAGGGAGAACTCAAGTCATAAAGGGCAGAAAGGGAGGACTGGTCCACAGTCACAAACTTTTCAGCATTTCTTCACTGTCCTGCAAGAGACGGCCCAGTTCTAGGTCTGACCAGAAATGAAGTGAGAATCCTGTGAGGCAGAGGATTTTAAGGAGGCAGGAGCCAGGAGTACCAAGTGCTCTGCAGATGAGGGCTTAAAAGTGCCTTTTGGATGAGCAGTAAAGAGACTGTTAATGTGCTTTGCCAAAGCAGTTTCAATCAAGTAGCTGGCACAGGAAGCTGTGATCTGAGGAATACATTGATGATGAAAAATTAGAGACAGCAAATGTAAACAGTTTTTTCAAGACTTGGCGATAAAGAGTAGGTGAAAAATTAGGGTCGTAGCTGGAGACGTGATTAAAAGAGTGTTCTATATATATATATAATTTAAAAATATTTTTATATATAAATATTATACACCCATATACATACACATATATAAACATACACATATATATACACATATGTATATACACACATATGTATATACATGTATATACATAGACATTTTTAAAATTATACTTTTATTTAAGATGGGAAGAGACCCGCTGGTCATATTAACCCTGATAGGAAAGAGACAGTGAAAGAAGATAAAGGAAAGAGAGGGGATGATGGGTGGAGTGAGTTCTCTGAGGACACAGAGGAGCTGGAATGCAGAACACAGATGGAGGGATTAATTAGTCTTGGAAAGGAAGACAGACATTTGTGCCTCCGTAGCGGGAGGAAGCAGGGAATGGATGGGTGCAGCTGCAGGGCGAGGTCTCTTCTGATGGTTTCTGTTTTACTTGGATTTTTTTTTTCTAATCTTCCTTGGAGCGTTGCATAGAATCAGTTTTTGTATTATGGTGCATAAATGTTTGAAAAGAAGGTATATTTCCTCACCATGCAATGTTCTGTTACCTATTAATGTAACATTAGTAATTATATTGCACAGATTCTTTATGTAATTTTCACTCACTTCAATGTATTAAAGTCTCTCAGAAGTTTTACTGATTTCAATTTCATCTTATATAACTACAGGGGATTTTTCTTTACATATTTTGATGTAATGGCATTTGGTTCACAAATTCTTCAAACTATTTGTTTTTTGATTATCAACAAAGTACTCATTTTGTATTTTTGCTTGAAATTCTACTTGCACTGATACAAAGACTATTACCCACGCTTTCTTTATCTTACCCTTCAGAATGGGCCATTCATAAATTGCAGACAAATGGCCTCCTGGTAAAGGACCCCCTTGGCCTGGAGGTAGACCTGGAGCTGGAGGCGATGATAAAGAGAGGAAGCAATTGTAAGTACAGTAAGAAAGAGCAGACTGCTGCTTGTGGTTCAGCACAAGCTCAGTATAGACTGCCTGAAACCTCCTATCAGAAGAATGCAGATGGCATTGCCAAGCAGGTCTGATTCTAAGCCTGCTTTGAAATCCTATATTTTCTATTGGTCTATAAGCCAATTATTGAAAACACAGCGGACGGTGGCTGGGCGTGGTGGCTCATGCCTGTAATCCCAGGACTTTGGGAGGTTAAGGTAGGAGATCACTTGAGGTTAGCAGTTTGAGATCAGCCTGGGCAACATAGTGAGACCTTGTCTCAACAAAAAATTTAAAAATTAGCCAGGTGTGGTGGTACATGCCTGTAGTGCCAGCTACTTAAGAGGCTGAGGCAGGAGGATTCCTTGAACCCAGAAGGTCGAGGCTGCAGTGAGCCAGGATTATGCTATTGCATTCAGCCTAGGCGACCGTGTCTAATTTAAAAAAGAAAACATATAAGATGGAGAGAAAAGGCTTCCTCTCCATCCCATCTTATGGTGTCGCTAACAGTAGGCTCATGTCTGGGACACCTAGATTTGTTGTTGATGGTGGTAACTGGTTCCTGTTGATCACATTCATTGTCTGGAATTATTCCAAAACTGTCTTATTGAAATTTGGTGGTAAGAGATTCTTGATAATCTCTTGGAATAGGAATACCTGTTCCAAGGGGTTGTTATGAGTGTTCAATGAGGTAATATATGCAAAGGGCTTAGAAAAGAACCTGGTGCCAATTAGGCGTTGGGTAAGTATAAGTTATTATTAAAACCATGTTGAGCACTTACTCTGCCACCAGGCAACATGCTAAGAAACTTGAGATAAGTTACCTCATTCATTCTAATGAAAACTCATTTCTATAATTAAGACAATTAAAATTTTATAAGGTTAAAGTGACTTGCCCAAGATCACGGTGCTCCTAAGCATTAGAACCAGGGTAAGGACCCAAAACTACACTTTTAAATCCTTCTACTATGAGACCAAGTGATGCTGTATAAACTCAAATTCACTCATCACACAGAGTTTCATTTTATGGGTTTCACTTGTTTGATTTTGCAATCACTGGACTGACCTAAGATTCACTGACTTTCCCTCCCACACATAAATGCTCAAGTCCAGCTGTTCCATCATATTTTTTCTATGTCTCATTTCCTGCTGGATATCACAGCTTTGCTAAGTAGCAAGATGTACAGGAAATAAATTGTCCACACAATATTAACTAATCAATAAACATCAGTTTCAGCCCAGAAGCACTGTAATTTATATCAGATCATTTATTTTCACTATAAAGTTCAACCGGAACTACATCAACCTAAATATATACATTCCAAGGTAAAACAAGGAAAAGGATGTCTTAGTGACTCTCACTTTGACAACCTCATCCCCACTTTCTATTTTTGTTTTGTTTATTTTTTTATTTTTTTGGTGTGTGTTTTTTTAGTTGGTTGGGTTTTTTTTTCTGAACAAAATTTTCTGTCGAGTATTTTTCATGTTACATTTATAGAACCTGCATTTATTTTCTCCTTCTGCTATTTAGATTCAAACACACACACACACCATTCCCAAGGCATAAAGTAGTTTTTTTAAAAAATAAGAAAACTTTTTAAATACATGCTAATGCTAATAATTTGAACCCTATAGAAAATTGCAAAAAAAAAATAGGTTTTATTTTTAAGGAATGCATTTTTTAAAATGAGATAATGTTGTGACAACATTTTGTAAACTGAAAAAAAAAAAAGTGTTTGTTAATTCCCTCACACACCCATAACTATTTGTCATCACTTAGACTAAAAAGAGTTACCGAGGCAGGGCATGGTGGCTCACACCTGTAATCCCAGCACTTTGGGAGGCTGATGCAAGTGGATCACCTGAAGTCAGGAGTTCAAGACCAGCCTGACCAACATGGTGAAACTCCATCTCTACTAAAAATACAAAATTAGCCGGGCATGGTGGCACGTGACTGTAATCCCAGCTATTCAGGAGGCTGAGGCAGGAGAATCACTTGAACCCAGGAGGTAGAGGCTGCAGTGAACTGAGATTGCACCATTGCACTCCAGCCTGGGCAACAAAAGCAAAACTCCATCTCAAAAAAAAAAAAAAAAAGTTACCTGGCATGGTATTGTACAGAACAGGGTCTGCACAATTTTTCAAAAGTAGGATAGTAAGGTTTGCTTCAAGCTCATCTGTCATTCTGTAGGAGCAGTGGGGGATTTTGGAAGGCGAAAAAAGGAAAAGTCAATGGGTAGCAACACTGATTCTGCAGCTGGAGGACTGTCTATACACTACTTTGCAAATGGGGGTGAGAAAAATGCAGTATGCCAGTAAGCAAAAGTAGAAAAAGCAAATGTAGGAAATTAACAGCAAATTTTTTACAAAAGAAGGAAGGAACACAGCAGAGCTTTGCCTTGTTGAGAACAATCGGCTGCAAACTGAAAACTGACCAGCATGCCTTGAGCTGTTAGGCCACATTACTAAAGTCTCTGATTGCTCAATCTGCAAATGAGTATCTTCAGCCCTTAGCTCCTATGCAGAAACATCTGCTCCCAACCTGACGTATGTTTATTTACTGGCCTAAACTGCCTTTACCTCAAAAGACCATGGTAACAGGCAGACTGACCAATAATGTATGCCTCTGTGCTTATTGGCAGGGCTAGCTTTGGAACAGCATGCAGGAGATGGGACTATGTCACACAGCATCTAATAACAAATATCTGTCCAGATGTTCTCGAGCATCATAGTGTAACTCTCATTTTCTGCCCTTTATAATACTGCCTCTAAGAAATCAGGAGGCTGGTGAGGATAAAACAGTCATCTGCCTTCTGACTCTGTAGTGGGGCATCAGACACTGAAAAGCAGAGGCGTTAACCAAAGGCATGCACCAGTGGCCACCTGGGAAGTTTGGCAACCTGCAATTGCCCAGATTTACCCCTCAAAATTCTAGGGTGGGGCCTGAGGATTAGAACATGGGACAAGTTCCCCAAGTGCTCCTGATGTGCACCCTGGGTTAGGAACCATGGAGCTGGCTGGGCTCTGCCAAGGGGAAACAAGGGGTGGGTTGGCTGAGGCAGCCTTTGCTCCCCTCTGACTCCATTTCTGTGCTATCTTTGTTCCCTGTCCCACCACTCTAAGCCTCGGTGCACCTCTCGCCTCATGCTCATCTCGCCGTCCTTGGAAGACACTTTGGGAGGGTGGTTAAGCACATGAACTCTGAGGTCAGAACCATCTTGACCACTCACCAGTTGTGAGACCTTGACCAAGGTGCTTAATTTCACTGAGCCTATTTCTCCATTTGTTAAATGGGGAGGGTATAGTAGTACCTACCTTGCAGGGTTATGTTAAGAATAAATAATGTCACACATAACAAATACATAGCACAGTGTAAGCATACAAACCCTGGGGGCCATTATTATTACTATTATTTTCCCAATAAGTATTTTTACTAATAATCCCAGTGCTCTCAGCTGGTCAGCAGGTGTCAGGTCTCCTGGGTGACCACGGGTGTTGCAGTGCTTGGCTACTAATAAGCTGCTTCTGATTTTAATTCACATTCCTCAAGGACTGCTTCCATAGGGATGCTGGTCTAAGTGGGCTCTTCAATTCTGTGTAGGTCAAGTCGACACACCTTTACTGGAAACATACTGGGTGCCAGGTACTGGGCCAGGTGCATGAGGTTCTTGAGGAGCTCACATACCAATGAGGGGGTCAGTGCAAAAACTAAACCTCCCTCTTGCAGGTTGTGACAATAACATGTTAAAAGGCAACCAAGTAGCAGTTCATGGGAGATAAGAGGAAACCTCACACCAACTCATTCTTGTGGTGTATCTAAAATTTCCTGGGCCCTTTAAGAATAAAGACAAGCCATCACTGTCAAGCCCTTTATTAAAAGTTTGGAAAATTGCTTCATATAAGTTCCTGGGACTTCTTTCTCTAAACTCCATTCAATCCTAAGATCTATTTTTTTTTAACAATGAACAAATTACACACACTTAATAGATTTTCAGAGCTAGAAGATTTCTTATAAATTGTCCATGCTCACTGTGCAGATGAAAAAGTTGAGGTCGCAGTAAGTGAAGCATCTTGCCTAAGAAGATAGATTGTCAGAGGCCAAACTGAGGTTATTACCCCAGTCTTTGGCTTCCAGTCCAGTTCTATTGCACAATATCATTTAGTCCCACTGAAATCATAACAGGAAGCAGAATCATCTCCAGCGAAGGCCATGTATTCATTTGTTCAACATTAACTGAGCTCCTAGGATGTGTTCAGTACTGCACTAGCACTAGGAATAAAATGGTGGACATCATAGACATGGTGCCTGCTCTTGCAAAGCTTACTAGTGGGAGAGGCAAACTAGACAAATAAATGAAATAACCACTTCTTTCCCTAAAGGCTAAGCAAGAACTAAACAGAAAAGAGAAGGGCCTACTTTACGTAGAGTGGTCAAAGAAAGCCTCTCTGAGGAGGCGACACTTGTGCTCAACGTTGAGAAAGAGGTAACTACGTTGAAGAGCAGGGAGACACATGGTCCAGGTTCAGGGATGGGTCGGTGCAAAGGCCCATCGGGGGAATGGGCACCTGACATTCTGGAATCTCCCAGAAAGCCAGTGTAACTGGGGATTAGGGAATGAGGAGCAGATGGCAGCACATGATGTAACACAGGGGCCAGATGATACAGGCTTTAAAGGCTTTGGAGAGGGACGCGGATTTCATCATAGGTGTAAGGTGATTCATGAAGAGGCCAGGGAGTTCACAGTCTGTCTGCTTCTCCATGTAAAATACAATCTATGACATTCCTTTGCAACACAGTCTACATGCTATTTTTCCATTATCTCTCTTCATGCACAGGGCCAGAAGACAAACAAAACCATGCAAAAGAGCTAGGCAAGGACTAGAACCCAGGAGTCTTTATTTCTAGTCACAGAGTCTTCCTTCCAGGCCACACTCTCCCTTGCTGAATTAAATGGAGGAGGGTGAAACTTTTAATTCCATTAAAAGGAACAGGGTCTTTGGTTTGAATATTCCTTTCTCAATCGCAGTTCTGATAGAAGAGTATGACCAGCCAGAATCTCACCCTAGAAAGACGAATGTGGAGGTAGAAAGAGATGATGTGGGAAGACAGGAGAATGAAAACCAATTCATGTTACCATGTTAGCAGACCCTTTATATCCTACACAATCTTCCTTGCTATGGAATAAGTTAAATTTGTAAATGGTTTTTGGGAGTGACAGTCAAAGGAGAAATGAACAGTGGATGAAGGGAAAAAATCTTAAGAATTACACTGTGAGGCAGCCCCATGATCCACCTAGCCCAGGATTCTATTTGTGTCAAGGAATGCATTAGAAGAGTGTGTGTTTATCTTCATACTGCCAAAACTTGAGCAAAATGCTGGTGTTCCCAGTTGGCCTTAGGTATCACTGTATCAATAGGCTTGGCTGCCACCATGTAAAAATGGACAAAAAGCTTAGAATAGACAAGCCGATCTTGTTTATTTGCCTCACACACGTGTGCCCTGATGTGGACAAGACCAAAATAAGGAACAAACCTGGAAATACAACTAAGTTTCTAAATGCCAAGTCAAGACTCTCTAAACAGATATGTTTGTTGTTGTTTTTACAGCTTTCTCTCTTTAATACCTGAGTGGCCTCTAGTTTCCTTTTCCAACATCCAAAGCTGTTTATGTTGGTTGTCAGTTCCGTCTCTCTCCTCCTCCCTCTGAACAGGAAATCTGTATGTTGTATCTGGATAAATTTCTGATATTTTTCATAGCAAAGGTTTTGGCTCCAGGCTCTTACACCTTGTGTCTGCCTCACTGCGTGATGGAAATGATATTCTGTGTGCAGCCTTGTGCACATTCTCCAGTGCAGGGCTGTGCCAACAGCATCTCGTTGCCATGTCCTGACTCAGGGTGAGTCCCAGGGAAGATTGGAATGAATTCTTGGCAAGGTGTGGATGTAGGAGCTGCGTAGATTCTGCAGGCTCCAGTGATGCACACTCAGGGGGAGACATGGCTTCATTTCCTACATTTCTTTCACACAAAGCATGATTATAGGGAAGTGCTTCCATATGGCCTAGGGAAAAAATCCCAGCCAAAAACAGCTTCAGCTGGTCAGTTTCAGAGCTGTAACAAACATGATGGGGCCATAATTAGAATCAAGATGGTGAAGGACTGTGTTTTCACGCAGGCAGGAATCTTTGCTACCTTTAGCCTTAGCTCAAGCGCATGCATACGGAACCTGATAACATGCCAGCATCCTGTGGGATGTTCCTGGCTTATACCATGTCACTCATGCCCTGCACTGAAGGATCTGTGCCCTCCAGTTCCCCTTTCTACGTAGAAATTGATTTTTTTTAAAAAAAAGGACATTTTAGGGGTTCTTAACCTGGAATGTCCTAAACAGGCATCAGGGGTCTGAGAACCCCACAAAAAAATCAGAATGGCAAATGTGGGGCTTATAAATACACATGCATTTTCCTGGAAAGAAAATGCATAACTTTTAATAGATTCTCAAAAGCATATGTAATCCAAAAGCTGAAAATCAAGAGACAGAGAGAGAGAGAATAATGAACTACCTTGCATTTCAGTACCTCTTCTGCACACTTCTCCAAATAAGACTGCCCTTTGGCACAATTTCATCTGGCATTTACCCTGGTTCAATTAGAATTATCTCAAGTTCTAATCTTTCTTGGACCCTGACAAAACGAGGTATTTTCTGATGAGATTTCCAAACTTTCTAAGGCCAACACTAACTCTACGTACTTCCATTACACCGGGATCTGGCTATTGTCTTTCTCCCTTACTCCCCTCATCCACATGCCTTCCTGGATGAACACTTCTCAGTATAGCCTCTCTTCAAACTGTGTTCACTGATCTGAGTCCTAAAACTTTGGTTTGTCCTACAATCACTCTGTTTTCACACTTTCAACGTTTTCCTCCATACCAAGCAGTAGCTCTCTTAAAATCAATCCCCAGACGGACTGATTGTTGATTTTCAAATATGTTTACAAATACCCACATTTACACTTAAAGTATGTAAGAGGTATTGAAAGGGGCAAAGTTCCCTTATCCCCCTCTCAGGGCATGCAACAGGAGGAGTGGCTTGCTTCTTCCGTGCCCAGCAGCTCAAGCCCCTAGGGGGAGCATGCAGACGGGCAGGTTATGGGGAGCTTGGGGCTCCAACCCCAAGGCAGCGTCTAGAGTTGAATGTTTACAGCTCCCAAAGTTCCAGCATGTGTTACAGTGTGCTCTTTCAGCTTAGCTGTCCGCAGGTGGCTTCTGTTAATCAGCTCAGTTAGAACCTCTGCCTTTTCTCAAGGACAGAGGGCTTTCGGTATCGCAGCGCTTTCTGTATCCCTTGCCACTCCATCCCCCTTCTGCCTCCTCATCCATCTGCTGAGAGCTACCTCCACCATTCAATAAACCTTTGCACTCATTCTCCAAGCCCATGTGTGATCCATTTTTTCCAGTACCATGGGCTTGGAGAATGAGTGCAAGGTTTTATTGAATGGTAGAGGTAGCTCTCAGTAGATGGATGGGAAGGCAGAAGGGGGATGGGGAGGCAGAAGGGGGATGGAGTGGGAAGGTGGTCTTCCCCTGGAGTCGGGTCGCTTAGCAGCTAGGATCTCGTCCGTCCGCCCTCGGCCAAATTTCCCCCTGAGTCTCTGTCGTTCCACTGTCAATGGCCTGTCGGCGTCTGTGTGTTCTTCTGCCAGTGTGTTCCTCTCAACATCCAGTCACTTGTGTGTGTGACTGCTAGGGTCTTGGGGTTTTTATAGACACAGAATGGGGGGCATGGCAGGCCAGAGTGGCCTTGGAAAATGCAACATTTGGGTGTGAGGACAGGGACTCTGTTTTCAGAGTCCCTGTCCTCACCCAGGCCAGTGGGCACAGGCCCAAGGGCGGAGCCCTAGCCAGGAACCCCGCCCTTCAATTTCCTGCCCCCCCTCCCGTATCAGTGTGACATCCTTTAGTATCCCAATGGGTAATATTTTTAACAAAAATGCAGCTAGCATTTACTGAGTACTCTCTAGTTACTACGCTATTTGGAGTTCTCAACATGGATTGATCTTTTAAATCCTGATAACAGCTCTACAAAGGCAGTACTGTTGTTATTCCCAGTTTAAAATTAGAGATCCAAGATACCCATGGAAGTGAAATAACTTAAATAACTCTGCACAGCTCATAAGCAACAGACCCAGGACTTAACCCTGGAAGGCTGGCGGCTCCGGACCCCAATTTCTTAACCACTTCCCAATATTTCCTTTCATAATTAATTATGGGAGATGTTTCTTAACATTTCTCATCCTTAGTTTCCTCATCTGTAAAATAGGCAGGACATTATCCAAATTATAATGTAAGAATGCTGGTAGAATTAAATGATAAGTCTGAAGAGAACTTTGGGAATTATAAAGCATTTGATCAATATTAGTAATAGCAGAATGGATAGAATGCTAACTACTTGGTTTCCTGCCTCCTTGGAAGCCAGGGTGTCACACACCATAATTCTGGTCAATGAAGCAAAATTCCCTGGGGAGAATATCCTTTCCTGGATAAAGAACACAGTATTTAAAAAAACGCTTTTCACACTATGTTCTTCCTTATTATCTGGGATGTGGATGTAACATCTCAATGTCCAATAATGACTTTGCAGCCAAGTAGGCAAAAGCCATCCTCTAAGGATGTGAAGAAGAGAGAAAGGTGCCTGGTTCCTGAAAGACACAGTAAAACAGCATCCCCAGCCTTAGCTGCCTACTCCAGGCTTTTTGTTAGAAAAGACTTATAAACTCCAATGTTTCTAAGTTGAGTTTTCTGTGATTTCCAGTAGGATACATTCCTCATTGGTATACCACCATTCAAAGCCACCTCCTTCATGAAGTCCAAAAATTGGAACCTCCATGAATTCATGGTTTCCCATCTCAGCTAGGCCCTTACAGCTACTCCTCTATCTTTGTACTGTTGTTGATGGTTCCTTCTTCTTTCCTTCATGGGAACAGGCTCAAGTCTCTGAGCCCTCACTCCTACTGGCCAACTCTATCTCCTAATGAAGAGTCAAATAAAGACAATAGGCTGGAACACCTCACGGTGTTCTCCAACCAACCCTGTAGAGCTATCCAGTTGTTGACACGGTGTTGGTCTGTTCCCCTCCTCTTGTCCTGAGCAAATCCTTCCCTCTATACATTCTCTTCACTTATCAATCCATTGCAATGAAGCTTTGATTTCAGCCTGAAGTTCATCAAAATCACTCTTGTTCACATCACAAATGACCTTCAAATTGCCAAAGACAAACTTTTGGGCCCTTATTCCAGTTGAACTCATAAAAGCATTTAACATTGCTGGCCACCCCCATCTCATTTTTGAAATTACTTATTCCTTTGGGGTCCATGGTACTGCTCTTGCTAAGTTCTGCATTTACCTACTTACTCTATTCATTCCTTCTCGGTTGGATTCCCTTAAACTTCTTCCCTGGCTAAATGCTTTGACTTCAGCTTTTCCTCAGGATGCAATTATTGGTTTCCTCTTATATTCTACATACTCTCTTTAGAGGAACTCACCTACATTTATAACTGAATACCACCAACAAGGGGTTTTGCTATCAGCCATGATAACCTAGCATGTTTCAGATAAACCCTCCAACCACAAAGAAAACATAATCAACATCTGTTTGCAGGCATCAGAAAGATACTTAGACATTGGATACTTATGGGGTGAAAATTTTGGAGAGAATAAAATTCAGGGAGGTGGAGTCTCACCTCTGATATGTGTCTCCTCTTCATGAATTCCTTACCCAAATGAATAGCAAACATGTCCACCGAGCTGCACAAGATGGAAAATTTGGGCCATTCTAGCTGCTTCTTTTCTCTTATAGCTGTCATTCAAAGAATTACCAAACTCTGTTCATTCTACATGCTAAAGATCTCTCCACCTGTTCCTTCCTCTACGTTTCCTCCCACGCTACCCTAGATCAAGGCCTCATGATTTTAAACACTCTTGAATAGCTTGAAAGACACTTCCTATTTGGACTACCTGCTTCCAAGCTCATCTGACAGGTAATCCAGCCTCCATATGCCACCAGAATTATTTTACTAAAACACTAACCTAACCATATCACTCCACTGCCTAAATTGCTTTGAGGGCTCCACTTAATCTGAAAAATAAAACACAATAACGAAGGCTTTGACTCCAAATGCCGTTCTGTCTTATCTTCTACCCTATTCAATGTACAGTCAGGCCTGAACAACATATTAGGAGTTCCTCAAAACACCCAGACTCTTCTCCAGTGTCACGCCATGAACTTTGTGTTTCCTCTGCCTGAAAAACCCTCCACCCCTCCCGCAATGCTTTCCCCATTTGGGAAAATAAGTAAGATGCCGACTTTACAAGTTACATCAAACTAAATTCAAAGGAATAAAAGATTTAAAATCAAATCTTTGGCGGAACTCACCTACATTTATAACTGAATACCACCAACAAGGGGGTATTCAGAAAGAATTATTATAAAGAAAAACAAAACCATAAAAGTACTGGCAGAAAACATACGTGAATAATTTTTGTTTCCTTTAAAGGAGCGGTTAACAAACCTAAAGGCCAAATTCAGCCTTCAGGCTACATTTGTAAATAAAGTTTCATTGGAATGTAGCCATGCTGATCTATTTACAGGTGTCTGTGTGTGCTTTTACACTGCAACAGCTGTGTTGAGTAGTTGAGACTATATGGCCAGCAAAGCCTAAAATATTTATTATCCATCCCTTTACAGAAAAAGTTTACTGATTCCCCAAACTAAAGGATGTTTTAAAGGACAGATATTATTAAAATGAAAAGATGGAAATTTCCAAATACATAATACTTAGAAACTTAGAAACTCTAATTACACAAAATTGAAAGTCAATTAACAAACTGGAACCATATTTGAAATAGGTATGACAGAAAAAATGTTAGTATTGGTGATATATTAAAAGCTCTCAACAATGAGGAAAAGATCTACATCCAAATAGGAAAATTGATAAATGGCTTCAGTAGCTAACTGAGAAATTAAAAAGTATAAATGGTCAATAGATACATGACAATATTTTCTACCTTGTTAGCAGTCAAAGGAAGACAAATAAAAGAAATTACTATTTCATGATTTACCTGAAAAATTGGCAAATATATTTTTTTAAAACAGTAATACCCTGCATTGGCAAAGGTTCAAAGAAAACGGGTCCTCTTCAAAGATATAATGGGAACAAAAGTTTGATACACACTTCTTGGAAGAAATTTCACTTTTAGAAAATTGGTACAAAAGCTACTTCCAACTAAAAAAGCTTAACATTCAGAAAATGTTATTCTAGCAATAGACAGTCTAAAATATATCTTGTATGATGGTAATAACGTATTGGGTTTAAAACCTACTTTTTTCAGGAGAAACGTGTGACTTTGATTGTCCCCGTACAAGCCTGCAGGTGGAGCCATCGCCGGCACAGACTCCACAGTTGTCCTCCTTGGCATTGCTTCCCAGTTGCCGATCGCAGCCCACTGCCTGCCAACAGAAGCATGGCAGTCAGTGGTGCCCAAAGCCAGGGGAGGGGGAGCTCTCTTCATTTCAGGAAGCTTAGTTGTGATGTAATCCTTAACTTTACAGTTTGGCTCTCTTTTATGAGAACATAGTTTTATAAATCTAAATAATATAATGTCTTACAGGATAGTATCATTTATATGATTCTAATGTAAGGCCGAAATATTAATATTAAGATTTGAAGCTGTCCCTCCATACCCCTCCCTTTTCTATTTATATTTTTATTCAGATTTCTGTCTTTTTTTTTTTTCAAGACAAGATCTCACTCTGTTGCCCAGGTTGGAGTGCAATAGTGGGATTGTGGCTCACTGCAGCCTCAACCTCCTGGGCTCAAGTGATCCTCCCACCTCAGCCTCCCAAGTAGCTGGGATCACTTGAGCCTGGGAGGTTGAGTCACAGGCCTGTGCCCCAACACCCAGCTTTTTAAAATTTGATGTAAAGACAGGGTCTCCCTATGCTGCCCAGGCTGGTCTTGAATTCCTGGGCTCAAGTGATCCTCCTGCCTTGGCCTTCCAAAGTGCTGGGATTACAGGCATGTACCACACTGCCCAGCCCAGGCATTTTTATATATATAAAATAAACAGAACATTACAGACGTTTCCTCTCTCCCCAGCCCTACACTTATCCTATTCTCTCATTTCCTCCCCAAAACAACCACTGTCCTAAATTTGATGTATAACCTTCTGGTTCATAGTTTTACTTTAAATATCTTTTTTTTTTCTGTTTTTACTTCTATCTCTAAATATCTATATCCCTATATTAATATCTGTCTATAGTCTTTATCTATATCTTTATATCTCCTTGTCTTTATCATTAGCTGTACCTATGCCTATGTATCTCCACCGCTGTCATTATACCTATATATTTATAAACAATTTTTAAAATATAAAAAATAATTAAAAGGAGAGATGTCTCATATAAAATACGTGTTTATACTGCTATCCTTCCTTCTCTTGTCATTTTTCATGTGTACATATGTGTGTGTATTTGCTATATTATAAGCTTCCTTATATGAGAAAAAAGGTCATGTCTTATATTTCTTTTTTATTTCTTAAGCATATATTTTACATAATGTGTAAACAACAATAATATCAACTGATCTGATGGTTTATCTCTTCCTTCCTTCCCATATTCATCTAACTTTATTTATAAATCTGGTGTTTAAGTGCAGGGACTTTGGAGGAAGAAAACACCCACGTACAAACCTGGATCCACTCACCACCCTTTCAAGCTGCAGGATGTTGAAAAATTCAAACTCTCAGAGACTCGTTTTCCTCAACAGTAAAATAGAGATAATAATACCAATATATACTTCACATAGGGCCTAGTGATGATTCAGTGAGAAAATATATGTAAAATTCTTAGTATAATGATTCAAACACTATAAAGGATTCAATAAAAAAGGGCCAATGTTATTATTTCTCTGTGTTTTTCATCTTATTTTGACTCCTGGGTAGCCCTCATGCTTCAGCTTGGAGAGTTGTTGAATCAGACTCTATATCCAAGCTGTTGAAGAAGAAATGAAACTAGAGGAAGTTGAGACAATTATTTATAACAATTCTTTCCAACATTTTGGTGTTGAAGGGAAAGAGAAAGATCAAGTGAAAATTTCAGGGAGAGATAGTAAGTTTCAAGGAAGTTTAGAGAATAGCTTATGATTAGAGATATTTTCAAATTCACAAAGAGCTATCATGAGGAAAGGGTCTACTTTTGTTCTGTATATTTCCAAATGGTGAAAGCTACAGGTTTAAGCATAATTTGGTTCAATATGAGAAAGTTTGAAAAGTCAGAGTTATCTAATAATAAGTATTCAATCATAGTCTAGGAGATCTCTTGGTGGAAAAATTGTAGGGGGGATTAAATTATTGGATGAGTAGCTTAATCCAATGACTTTTGAGATCCTTTAATCCTGATTATATGATTTTATAAAGATAGTAATACAATATTAATAATTGCTGATTTTTATTGAATGCTTAGCATGTACCTGGCATTATGCCATGAATATTGTACACATTATTTCATTTAATCTTCAGAGCAATTTTGTCATGAGGTGATACCTTTAACTCTATTTTATAAATAAGGAATCTAAACATTACTGAGTAAATGATTTGCCAATATTACACAGCTAGTATATAGTGTTGGTAATGGTTTTAAAACCCAAGTTATCTGACTCAGAATCTTAACACTACATTACAACTTCCTCTACCTTAAGTATCAGCAGATAGACAACAACAACAAAAGCCCAGTTACACAGGCCATTAAATTAACATTTACAAGTACATGTGGAACAACTTAAGAGTGATTGATTTTGGAAACACACTTGCATGGTCAAGATTCAATCAATGAGTAACTTGTGTTCATGCAACTTTCTCCAAGGGGAGTAATACCACTATTAAATTATAGAAACACTGCTCCTGGGCCAAACTCTGTCCTCACACATTCATGTCCCTGAGCACTCTGCATTTCATGAGAATGAGAATCACTCTCTATCTGGTCATCCAGGAAGGGCGTGGGCTTAGGAGCTAGGAGGGGCTTGTTTTGAAGAGTGTTTAAGGCCTTGCAAGATCTCAGGCAATTGAATACCTCCCTGAGCACTGATATTTGCTTCATAATTTTTTTTAAGTTACAATTCATCCAAATGTTATAGCAAAATAAAGCATGTGAAAACATCACAGAAAAATGATATTTGAAAAGAAAGTCTTGCCTTGTGATTCATAACGAATAAGCCAGAAATGCCTTTGAAATTGAGGGGCCACTGAATTTTGGCTTTCATATCCCATCATAATCAACAATAAGCAACTTTTTTTTTTTTTTTTTTTGAGACAGAGTCTTGCTCTGCCGCCCAAGCTGGAGTGCAGTGGTGCAATCTCAGCTCACTGCAAGCTCTGCCTCCTGGGTTCACGCCATTTTCCTGCCTCAGCCTCCCGAGTAGCTGGGACTACAGCTACCCGCCACCATGCCCGGCTAATTTTTTGTATTTTCAGTAGAGACAGGGTTTCACTGTGTTAGCCAGGATGGTCTCGATCTCCTGATCTCGTGATCTGCCCGCCTTGGCCTCCCAAAGTGCTGGGATTACAAGCGTGAACCACAGCGCCCGGCCCAACAATAAGCAACTTCTAAAAAATTGCCTGAAGTGTTTCCAACTTCTATGACATCATCTGAAGTCATGATCTCTAATTATAGTGATTTATTAACTACTAATTGACAGATATATCAATAAAATTTATTAACATCTATTAAATAACCATTTTCTATACTGCCAGACACTACAGAGCATAAATTAATAACATAAGATTCTTACCTTACAGTGTAGTTAATGAGACAAGTTACACAAGATAGTGGATGACATAAACAAATATTTAAAATATATGAGTAGTGCTTTTTGGAATAAATATTCATCTATAAATCATCACTTCAGCTAAAAATTATTTCACAGTTCCTGCATATGATTTCCTAATCAGCTAAAAGATGATAATACTTAAATAAGTGGCACTAGTCCAAATGAAGCAAAATATGAATTTTTCAGAGCAGTCAAATTTAATCATTCAAGAACAAAACAATTTTTTTTTTAAATCAACCGTTTGAAATCTCTGCAAATCAGAATCTAACTTGGGGGAAAAATCTGACATTTCTGCCTTAAAAATCAGAGTATATGGAGCTGTGGTAGTCAGTGGGGATACTCAGAAACATTTTGCTTCAGCCCACAGAAGGTCTGCACTTCTCCACCCCCTTTGAAGTTAGGTGTGGTCATTAACTAACTTTGGCCAATGAAATATGAGTCTAAGTGATTGATCTGTGTCACTTCTATAAGAAGATTTAAGGGTCAGTGTCTGAGTCTCATGTTCCCCTTGCACTATTGCAGTTATTATGTAAAAAATGTGTCCAAATAAAGCCTGAGTCTCCGAGACGTTCTAAGAGCTGAGGCTCCTGTCAACCACTGTTGGGCAAGTGGCATCAGCAAGAAGTAACCTTTAATTGTTTTAAGCTACTGAGCTTTGGGTGTTGTTGGTTACTGCAGGAAAACCCAGCCTATACTATACAGGACTATAATTTAACCATTAATGGATAAAGCACGGTTATTAACAGGAAGACGATTTTTAAAATTGGAAGTTTCACATTAAAATCCAGTTTTCTGGCTTCTCTTGACAAAAACAAAAACAAAACAAAACAAAACTTCCGACATGTTTATACATAGTTGCTCCCTTCACAATGAGCATGTATCCTCCAGTTCACCACTACAGTCACCAGCCAATGTGACTACATCTGGGCAGTTTCTCTCTGGGGCAGTATGTAGACATCTGAGTTTTAATCCCCGTACTAAGCCATCTAAGCATGAATCATCTGTTGAACTGACTGTTCTTTACCGAATTATATCTCATTTTCAGTTACAAACTTCAGCTACACTTGTACCAATATAAAAAGTATCATCAGTATAGCCCAATAATTAAGAAATTGGATTCTGGAATTAGGTTGCCTGGGTTCAAATTCCAGCTCTATCACTTCCTAGCTATGTGCTATAGACTGAATGTGTCCACACCCAAAATTCATATGCAGAGACCTAACCCTCAAGTTGATGGTACTAGGAGGTGAAACATTTAGGGGGTGGTTAGGTCATGAGGGTAGAGACCTCATGAATAGGATTAGTACCCTTATAAAAAATACCCTGGATACCTCCCTCATCCCTTCTGCCATGTGAGGACACAGCCTCTATGAACCAGGAGGCAGGGAGCAGACCCTCACCAGACACTGAATCTGCCAGCACTTTGATTTTGGACTTCCCAGCCTCTAGAACTGTAAAAAATAAATTTCTGTTGTTAATATGCCACCCAATCTATGGTAGCTAGTGACAGCTGCCCAAACTGACTAAGATACTGTACAACTTGGGCAATTTACTTAGCCTCTTCAATTTCCAGTTTCCTTATCAACAAAGTGGGGAATAAATACTGTACCTACTTGATAGGATTATGATGAGCTAACAGTAAAGGACTTCCACAATGCCTGATACCTGGGCTAAGCACCCAGTGTTAGTTGCTATTATTTTTATTTTTATTCTAAATTCTAAGTGGTTTCTTCATCTGCACAGCTATCAGGGAATTCAATAAACATGAATGACAAATCAAACTTGGTCTGCAGAGCTGGTACCAACCAGGTCGTGCCTCTAATACAAATCAGACCTCCAAAGCAGAAGCAAATTTCATTCAGTGAGCACCACTGTCTCAGGCTGTCTGCTGTGCTCAGGTTAATGGAAAGTTGTTCCCAAGAGCACTGTGACATGTTCATTTAAATGAGAAAACTATACAGACATTTACAAGACTTATGTGTAGTCTATGCCAAGTAGTCATTATGGCTCACATCAGTGATCCTGGGGCAAGCAGAAAGAATCACCAGGAAGCAGGAAGTAGGCCCTCACCAGACACTGAATCTGCCTAACTGATGCCCATGGCCACGTGGCACAAGAAAGGC
This sequence comes from Homo sapiens, assembly GCF_000001405.40. Taxonomy (NCBI): domain Eukaryota; kingdom Metazoa; phylum Chordata; class Mammalia; order Primates; family Hominidae; genus Homo; species Homo sapiens. Next base: position 438,383 of record NW_025791797.1, on the reverse strand, counting down.
AATTTATGTGAACATTATCCTGCTGAAGGAAAGATACTGAATTCTACCAAGAAGTGTCTAAGTCACTTCCGAGGAAGAACACATAATTATTTAATTCAAATCACCTAGCCAAAAGAGCATCCAGCTTTCAGCAACCAGGGTATCACTCCTCATCACCCAAAGAACTGGCTTACTCAGTAGCATCACAAAAACGTGATTAGAAGCACTCATTTAAAATGCACTAATTCATACTGAAACCACCTTTATCCTGCAAGCCCCTTTAAACCCTGGAAACTCCTGGAGTCAACTAAGCAACTGGATTTAGACCATTAATAAGAACAGGGGGTGGCGAGTAGTGAGCAGAAGGGTAAATGTGGGAAGGGGAGCTCATGTTGACTGCAGGCAAATAAAAGCTCATGTTGACTGCAGGCAAAAAAAGATGCCTTTGCTTTATATTTCACTCAATTGAGGCCATCAAACAATATCTCACCTTCCTGTCCATTCCCATACCAAACTGATCAGTGGCCCATATTTACCCCTTCCTACCTGCCTCAAGGGAAAAGGTGTCCCTCCTCCTTGTCCACGAGCAATCTGTCTCCTTTGTTTCTGTTATCAACTCCTTTGAAGAGCCCAGGAACTTCACTGCATTCATTGTATATTTCTACCTCTCAGTCAATACTCCACTCACCCACCTGCCTGGCAACATATATCCTTGCGCATTCATGGATTTACCATGAAGTTAATGAAGCTTAAGTTTCAGGGTCAACCACTCTCTCCTTTTCCCTCTGTCTTGCCCACCTGCTGTTCCCAGTCTGGGCTCCCACAAATGCTTAGAGTTGTGGGGAATTGAAGTATTTGAGGTGGGGAGGGGAAGCTGGGCTGCAACTGGGAAGGATTTCTACGGAAGAATCTGCCATAAATTAGCCAGTGGTGGCACACCTGTAGTCCCAGCTACTCAAGAGGTTGAGATGGGAGAATCACTTGAGCCCAGGAGGTCAAGGCTGCAATGAGCCATGATAGCACCACTGCACTCCAGCCTGGGTGAGAGAGACTTTGTCTCAAAAGTTAATAAATAAAGAGGGCACTTCTAATTACATATGCTTCAGGTACCCTAAAAACTGCATCTGCTCCAGTGCTTTTCCAAGTATCTCTGATCTTGAAGACATTCTTCCTGAACCTGACATCCCCTCTGGCTGTAGTTGTATCTTTCCCTCTATTCTTCTGATTCATACTTTTTGAAAAGGGGGTTTATGCTCATCATCCCTACTCATTTCAGCCTATTCATTCCTTACCATGTGTAGTGGGTTGACTTGTGCACTCCCCCCAAAAAAAGACATGGCACCCAGATCCTGTGAATGTGACCATATGTGGAAAAATATCTTTGCAAATGTAATTAAGGATGTTGAGATGAAATAATAGGAAGGTGTCCTTATGAAAGGAGGGGAAAACATAGAGATAGACAAGAGGAGGTAAGGTGCAGACGAAGGCAGAGATTAGAGTGATGCTTCCACAAGCAAGGAACACCAAAAATCATTGGCACAAAAATCTGTCCCCTTTGTTTCTGCCTATCAACTCTTTTGATTAGCCCAAACTTTACTTCATTAGTTGTATATTTCTACATCTAAATCAATACTCCACCCACCCACCCACTTGGCAACATATATTCTTGTTCATTCGTGGATTTACCAGAAAGTTAATGAAGCTTAAGTTTTAAAGTCACCCACCCTCCTCTTTTCCCTCCATCCTGCCCACCTGCTGCTCCCAGTCTGGCCTCCTGCAAATGGGCTCTTTCTAAAGACAAGCCCAAATTCCAGCACCAGAAGCTGGAAGAGAGGCAAGGAATGGATTCTCCCTCAGAGCCTCCAGCCAAGAACCAACCCTGCTGATACCCTGATTTTAAACTTCTGGCCTCTAGAAGTGTGAGAAAATAAACTTCTGTTGTTTTAAGCCACCAAATTTGTGGTAATTTGTCACAGCTGCCACAGGAAACTAATGCATCCTGCATCCCCTGCCAGTGCCTACTCCAACACCACACTGAGGCTGTGCCAGCTGTTGCCAGTGATCTTTAGTCAAAATGAAGTGGGTGGATTTCAGTTCTTACTGCTCTTGACTTCTCTGAAGTATGTGCCACTGCTAACCGGCCTTCTTAAATGCTCACCCGCCCTTATCTTCCGTTTTTCATGGTCTCGCTACTATATAGAAAGCTATTCTGTTCAGTCCCCATCAGGGGCACCTCTCCCTGTGCTAGTTCCTTCAATTATGGGCACCAGGACTCTGTACTTGAGAGTACAACCTGTCCTTCTTACTCAGTCCCCAATGACATTAGATCATTAGATTTAACCATGTGAGAGCCCCAGATCTATATTTCTAGTCTAGATTTCTCTCCTAAGCTCTAAATTCAAACATCAACTTAGATTGACAGGCACGCCCAGCTCATCACCTTTGCCCCATGCCCCCTGTTCTCACCCAATATTTTGTCTTGATGAATGGTCTCACTATCTATCTACTTAATCATGATATCAGAAATCTAAATATCATTCTCTCACTCCCCACATCCAACCAAACATTCAGCCGTAAAAGATCTGTTTCCTCTCCATCCCAAATCAACAGAATATACATTCTTCTCAGCACCATATCACACTTATTACAAAATTGACCACATAGCTGGAAGTAAAGCACTCTTCAGCAAATGTAAAAGAACAGAAATGATAACAAACTGTCTCTCAGACCACAGTGCAATCAAACTAGAACTCAAGATTAAGAAACTCACTCAAAACCACTCAACTACATGGAAACTGAACAACCTGCTCCTGAATGACTACTGGGTACATAAGGAAATGAAGGCAGAAATAAAGATGTTCTTTGAAACCTATGAGAACAAAGACACAACATACCAGAATCTCTGGGACACATTTAAAGCAGTGTGTAGAGGGAAATTTATAGCACTAAATGCCCACAAGAGAAAGCAGGAAAGATCTAAAATTGATACCCTAACATCACAATTAAAAGAACTAGAGAAGCAAGAGCAAGCACATTCAAAAGCTAGCAGAAGGCAAGAAATAACTAAGATCAGAGCAGAACTGAAGGAGATAGAGACATAAAAAAACCTTCAAAAAATCAAAGAATCCAGGAGCTGGTTTTTTGAAAAGATCAACAAAATTGATAGACTGCTAGCAAGACTAATAAAGAAGAAAAGAGAGAAGAATCAAATAGGCGCAATAAAAAATGATAAAGGGGATATCACCACCGATCCCACAGAAATACAAACTACCATCAGGGAATACTATAAACAGCTCTACGCAAATAAACTAGAAAATCTAGAAGAAATGGATAAATTCCTGGACACATACACCCTCCCAAGACTAAACCAGGAAGAAGTTGAATCTCTGAATAGACCAATAACAGGCTCTGAAATTGAGGCAATAATTAATAGCCTACCAACCAAAAAAAGTCCAGGACCAGATGGATTCACAGCCGAATTCTTCCAGAGGTACAAGGAGGAGCTGGTACCATTCCTTCTGAAACTATTCCAATCAATAGAAAAAGAGGGAATCCTCCCTAACTCATTTTATGAGGCCAGCATCATCCTGATACCAAAGCCTGGAAGAGACACAACCAAAAAAGAGAATTTTAGACCAATATCCCTGATGAACATCGATGCAGAAATCCTCAATAAAATTCTGGCAAACCAAATCCAGCAGCACATCAAAAAACTTATCCACCATGATCAAGTGGGCTTCATCCCTGCTATGCAAGGCTGGTTCAACATATGAAAATCAATAAACGTAATCCAGCATATAAACAGAAACAAAGACAAAAACCATATGATTATCTCAATAGATGCAGAAAAGGCCTTTGACAAAATTAAACAACCTTCATGCTAAAAACTCTCAATAAATTAGGTATTGATGGGATGTATTTCAAAATAATAAGAGCTATCTATGACAAACCCACAGCCAATATCATACTGAATGGGCAAAAACTGGAAGCATTCCCTTTGAAAACTGGCACAAGACAGGGATGCCCTCTCTCACCACTCCTATTCAACATAGTGTTGGAAGTTCTGGCCAGGGCAATCACGCAGGAGAAAGAAATAAAGGGTATTCAATTAGGAAAAGAGGAAGTCAAATTGTCCCTGTCTGCAGATGACATGATTGTATATTTAGAAAACCCCATCGTCTCAGCCCAAAATCTCCTTAAGCTGATAGGCAACTTCAGTGAAGTCTCAGGATACAAAATCAATGTGCAAAAATCACAAGCATTCTTATACACCAATAACAGACTAACAGAGAGCCAAATCATGAGTGAACTCCCATTCACCATTGCTTCAAAGAGAATAAAATACCTAGGAATCCAACTTACAAGGGATGTGAAGGACCTCTTCAAGGAGAACTACAAACCACTGCTCAACGAAATAAAAGAGGACACAACAAATGGGAGAACATTCCATGCTCATGGATAGGAAGAATCAATATCGTGAAAATGGCCATACTGCCCAAGGTAATTTATAGATTCAATGCCATCCCCATCAAGCCACCAATCTTCTTCACAGAATTTCTTCACAGAATTGGAAAAACTACTTTAAAGTTCATATGGAACCAAAAAAGAGCCTGCATTGCCAAGACAATCCTAACCCAAAAGAACAAAGCTGGAGGCATCACGTTACCTGACTTCAAACTATACTACAAGGCTACAGTAACCAAAGCAGCATGGTACTGGTACCAAAACAGAGATATAGACCAATGGGACAGAACAGAGCCCTCAGAAATAATACCACACATCTACAACCATCTGATCTTTGACAAACCTGACAAAAACAAGCAATGGGGAAAGGATTCTCTATTTAATAAATGGTGCTGGCAAAAATAAAAATGACTAGCCATATGTAGAAAGCTGAAACTGGATCCCTTCCTTGCACCTTATACAAAAATTAATTCAAGATGGATTAAAGACTTAAATGTTAGACCTAAAACCATAAAAACCCTAGAAGAAAACCTAGGCAATACCATTCAGGACATAGGCATGGGTAAGGACTTCATGTCCAAAACACCAAAAGCAATGGCAACAAAAGCCAAACTTGACAAATGGGATCTAACTAAACTAAAGAGCTTCTGCACAGCAAAAGAAACTACCATCAGAGTGAACAGGCAACCTATAGAATGGGAGAAAATTTTCGCAATCTACTCGTCTGACAAAGGGCTAATATCCAGAATCTACAAAGAACTCAAAACAAATTTACAAGAAAAAAACAAACAACCCAGTCAAAAAGTGGGCAAAGGATATAAACAGACACTTCTCAAAAGAAGACATTTATACAGCCAACAGACACATGAAAAAATGCTCATCATCACTGGCCATCAGAGAAATGAAATCAAAACCACAATGAGATACCATCTCACACCAGTTAGAATGGCGATCATTAAAAAGTCAGGAAACAACAGGTGCTGGAGAGGATGTGGAGAAATAGGAACACTTTTACACTGTTGGTGGAACTGTAAACTGGTTCAACCATTGTGGAAGTCAGTGTGGCAATTCCTCAGGGATCTAGAACTAGAAATACCATTTGACCCAGCCATCCTATTACTGGGTATATACCCAAAGGATTATAAATCATGCTGCTATAAAGACACAGGCACACGTATGTTTATTACGGCACTATTCACAAAAGCAAAGACTTGGAACAAACCCAAATGTCCATCAATGATAGACTGGATTAAGAAAATGTGGCACATATACACCATGGAATACTATGCAGCCATAAAAAAGGATGAGTTCATGTCCTTTGTAGGGACATGGATGAAGCTGGAAACCATCATTCTCAGCAAACTATCGCAAGGACGAAAAACCAAACACCGCATGTTCTCACTCATAGGTGGGAACTGAACAATGAGAACACTTGGACACAGGAAGGGGAACATCACACACCGGGTCCTGTTGTGGGGTGGGGGGAGGGGGGAGGGATAGCATTAGGAGATATACCTAATGTAAATGACGAGTTAATGGGTGCAGCATTCCAACATGGCACATGTATACATATGTAACAAACCTGCACGTTGTTCACATGTACCCTAGAACTTAAAGTATAATTTTTTTAAAAGTCCTATAAAAAAAGAAATAAAAAATTGTACCTGTGCTATAAAGCATGGTTTGATAAAAATTAAAAAAAAAAAAAAAAGATCTGCTTCCAGGGCCAGGCTCAGTGGCTCATGTCTATAACCCCAGTGTTGTGAGGGGCCAAGGTAGGAAAGTTGCTTGAAGCCAGGACTTGGAGATCAGCCTGGGCAACATAGTGAGACCTGATCTCTACAAAAAATGTAAAAAATAAAAATTATCCTAGCATGGTGGAACATTACTGTAGTCCCAGCTACTTAGGGGTGGAGTGCAGACTAGGTTGGGAGGATTACTTGAGCCCAGGAGCCCAAGGCTACAGTGAGCTGTAACCACACCATTACACTCCAGCCTGGACAACAAAGCAAGACCCTGTCTCAAAAAAAAAATACATCCTTAATCTTTAGAATTTGTCTCCATTTAATTCATCCTACCTCTTGCCTTATTTTAAGCTCTTGTTATCCCATACTTGACCTTCTACTGTTTGGCTAGATCCTGTCCTCTGCAAATAATCTGCCACTTTGCCACTGAAATGACCTTTCTAAAGACAAGCCCAAATTCTTTATAAAATTATGAAACAGCTCCTCTCTCTACTTTCAGAATAAGTTAATGATTGGTTTCCCACCTCCACTGGTAGCCTCATCTCCTAGCACTATTCCATGGGTATTCTCACCTCAACTCTACAGAATGCACTCCTGGACCTTAAACACATCTGCACCTGCTGTTACATTCCTGTCCCTTCTGCTTGTCATTCTCTTCCTCACCTTGGTTTATCTAACTTTTACTCAACTTTTCAAAACCTCAGTGTCCAAACATCACCTTATCCAGAGAGCGCTCCTTGAGGCCAGACTAAATTCCTTTTATTTATTTATATTTTTATTTTTTAGAAACAGGGTCTCACCCTATCATAGGCTGGAGTACAGTGGTACAATCATAGTTCAGTGCAGCCTCGACTACCTGGACTCAAGCGAATCCTTGCCTCAGGTACCTGAGTAGCAAGTAGCTAGGACCATAGGCTTGCGCCAACACACCCAGCTAATTTTTAAAAAGTTTTTGTAGAAACGAGGTTTCCCCATGTTGCCCAGGCTGGTCTCGAACTCCTAGGCTTAACGAACTCTCCTGTCTTGGCCTCCCAAAGTGTTGTGATTATAGGCAGAAGCCAATGCGCCCAACCTAAATTGCTTTTAATAACAATTCATTTTAATTATAAAAACAATGCATGATCATTGTCAAGAACTTGGAAAACAACAGCATAATCCCACTGAGAAGGATTACTATTATCATTTGGTCAAAGAGCCCAAACCTTAACTGATGGCAATAATGGGGAACAATAGACGGTTTATAAAATGGAAGAATTATATGGTAAGCTTTGACCTTTTGTCAAAAGTCTACTTTTGGTTGCCAAAAGTAGAAAGCAACCAAAGTGTCCTTCAGCAGGTGAATGGATAAACTGTGGTACATCCAGACAAGGGAATATTATTCAGTGTGAAAAGGAAATGAGCTATTGTGCTCACTTTGGCAGCACATATTCTAAAATTGGTATGATACAATTTTATGATACAATGCTAATGATACAGAGATGATTAGCATGGCCCCTGCGCCAAGATGACATGCAAATTTGTGAAACATTCCATTAATTTAATTTTTTATCTTAAATTTTTTAAATTAAAAAAAGGAAATGAGCTATCAAGCCATGAAAAGACACTGAGGAAACTTAAATGTATAATATATTATTACATGAAAGAATCCAATCCGAAAAGGCTACATACTATATGATTCCAACTCTGTGACATTCCGGAAAAGGCAAAAACTATGGAGACAGTAAAAAGATCCATGGTTGCCAGGGGTTAGCGAGGAGAGAGGGATGAAAGAGCAAAGCATAGAGGATTTTTAGGTCAGTGAAACTACTCTGCATTATACTATAATAGTGGATACATGTCATTATACATTTGTCCAAACTCATAGAATTTACAACACCAAGAGTGAGGCCTAATGTAAACTATGAACTTTGGGTGATTATGATGTGTCAGTGTAGGTTCATCGACTGTAATAACTGTATCACTTTAGTGGGGAATGTTGATAGTAGGGGAGGCTGTGCGTTTAAGGAAGCAGGGGGGTCCTATGGGAAAATTCCACCTTCCACTAAATTTTGTTGTGAATCTAAAATTGCTCTAAAAAATGGAGTCAGGCCAGGTATGGTGGTTCAAGCCTGTAATGCCAGTATTTTGGGAGGCTCAAGGCCAGCTGAGTAACATAGCGAGACCCCCATCTCTACAAAAATCAAGCAAAAAACTGGCTGAGCGTGATGGCACATGCCTTTAGTCCCAGCTACGTGGGAGGCTGAGGCAGGAGGATCGATTGAGCCCAGGAGGATGAGTCTGCAATGAGGCATGATCATGTTGCTGTATTCCAACCTGGGTGACAGATGAGACCCTGTCTCTTTAAAAAAAAAAAGAAAAAGAAAAAAAGAAAGAAGGAAGAAAGAAGAAAGAAGAGGAAGAAGAAGGAGAAGGAGGAGGAGGAGGAGGAGAAGAAGAAGAAGAAGAAGAAGAAGAAGAAGAAGAAGAAGAAGAAGAAGAAGAAGAAGAAGAAGAAGAAGAAGAAGAAGAGGAAGAAGAAGAAGGAAATGGAGTCTGTTTTAAAAGGGCAGGGAGGTGGATAGTGTAGGAAGAGCCTAAAGGAGATAGACAAGAATCCTCAATTTCATCATTAATGCAAGGACAAGCCATTGAAGGGCTTTGAGGAATGCAAGAATGACAAGCTCTGAATTACCTTTTAACATAATCACTTTGGCTGCTGTGTGAAGAACAGACTGGAGGGAATCATGGTGGGAGCTCGGAGAACAGAACAGAAAGCTGTTAATGCAGTTTAGATTAGCTAATAAGGACTTAGGCTACAAGAAAGGCAGTAAAGATGGAAAGACGTGCTAAATTAAAAGTAATCTTTGGGAGGGAAAATTGACAGGACGTGGCAATGGATCAAATGTGTGGGTTGAAAGAAAAGCAAGAATGATGTCAAAGTTTTGGGATAAGCAACTAGAAGCCATTTTCTAGATAAAGGGATGAACAAAGTTGAAGCTAGTTTGAAAAGCAGGATGAAGGTTCACCTTTGAGCACTTTAAGTCTGAAGCTCCTGGTAGTGCCCCACACTTAGCAGGTGGTCAGGTTGCTCATCTGCTGTTGTTACTATTGTTTTTGTTATGAGCAGAATAGGGTAGGTGAAATACTAGACACATTCATTATTTTTTAAAAATATTTTTCAGCTCTCCCTCTCCCTCCCCCTCCCCCTCACCCTCTCCCTCACCCTCTCCCTCTCCCCACGGTCTCCCTCTGATGCCAAGCCAAAGCTGGACTGTACTGCTGCCATCTCGGCTCACTGCAACCTCCCTGCCTCATTCTCCTGCCTCAGCCTGCCGAGTGCCTGCAATTTGCAGGCGCGCGCCGCCACGCCTGACTGGTTTTCGTATTTTTTTGGTGGAGACGGGGTTTCGCTGTGTTGGCCGGGCTGGTCTCCAGCTCCTAACCGCGAGTGATCCGCCAGCCTCCGCCTCCCGAGGTGCCGGGATTGCAGACGGAGTCTGCTTCACTCAGTGCTCAATGGTGCCCAGGCTGGAGTGCAGTGGCGTGATCTCGGCTCGCTACAACCTCCACCTCCCAGCCGCCTGCCTTGGCCTCCCAAAGTGCCGAGATTGCAGCCTCTGCCCGGCCGCCACCCCATCTGGGAAGTGAGGAGCGTCTCTGCCTGGCCGCCCATCGTCTGGGACGTGAGGAGCCCCTCTGCCTGGCTGCCCAGTCTGGAAAGTGAGGAGCGTCTCTGCCCGGCCGCCATCCCATCTAGGAAGTGAGGAGTGCCTCTTCCCGGCCACCATCCCATCTAGGAAGTGAGGAGCGTCTCTGCCCGGCCGCCCATCGTCTGAGATGTGGGGAGCGCCTCTGCCCCGCCGCCCCGTCTGGGATGTGAGGAGCGCCTCTACCCGGCCGCAACCCCGTCTGGGAGGTGAGGAGCGTCTCTGCCCGGCCGCCCCGTCTGAGAAGTGAGGAGACCCTCCGCCTGGCAACCGCCCCGTCTGAGAAGTGAGGAGACCCTCCGCCCGGCAACCGCCCCGTCTGAGAAGTGAGGAGACCCTCCGCCCGGCAGCCGCCCCGTCTGAGAAGTGAGGAGCCCCTCCGCCCGGCAGCCGCCCCGTCTGAGAAGTGAGGAGCCCCTCCGCCCGGCAGCCGCCCCGTCTGAGAAGTGAGGAGCCCCTCCGCCCAGCAGCCACCCCGTCTGGGAAGTGAGGAGCGTCTCCGCCCGGCAGCCACCCCGTCCGGGAGGGAGGTGGGGGTCAGCCCCCGCCAGGCCAGCCGCCCCGTCTGGGAGGGAGGTGGGGGGGTCAGCCCCCCGCCCGGCCAGGCGCCCCGTCCGGGAGGTGAGGGGTGCCTCTGCCCGGCCGCCCCTACTGGGAAGTGAGGAGCCCCTCTGCCCGGCCAGCCACCCCGTCCGGGAGGGAGGTGGGGGAGGTCAGCAACCCGCCCGGCCAGCAGCCCCGTCCGGGAGGTGAGGGGCGCCTCTGCCCGGCCGCCCCTACTGGGAAGTGAGGAGCCCCTCTGCCCGGCCAGCCGCCCCATCCGGGAGGGAGTTGGGGGGGTCAGCCCCCAGCCCGGCCAGCCGCCCCGTCCGGGAGGTGAGGGGCGCCTCTGCCCGGCCGCCCCTACTGGGAAGTGAGGAGCCCCTCTGCCCGGCCACCACCCCGTCTGGGAGGTGTACCCAACAGCTCATTGAGAACGGGCCATGACGACAACGGCGGTTTTGTGGAATAGAAAGTGGGGAAAGGTGGGGAAAAGATTGAGAAATCGGATGGTTGCCGTGTCTGTGTAGAAAGAGGTAGACATGGGAGACTTTTCATTTTGTTCTGTACTAAGAAAAATTCTTCTGCCTTGGGATCCTGTTGATCTGTGACCTTACCCCCAACCCTGTGCTCTCTGAAACATGTGCTGTGTCCACTCAGGGTTAAATGGATTAAGGGCGGTGCAAGACGTGCTTTGTTAAACAGATGCTTGAAGGCAGCATGCTCGTTAAGAGTCATCACCACTCCCTAATCTCAAGTACCCAGGGACACAAACACTGCGGAAGGCCGCAGGGTCCTCTGCCTAGGAAAACCAGAGACCTTTGTTCACTTGTTTATCTGCTGACCTTCCCTCCACTATTGTCCTATGACCCTGCCAAATCCCCCTCTGCGAGAAACACCCAAGAATGATCAATTAAAAAAAAAAAGAAACTCAGGGAGACAGACAGTAAGTGAAAGGAAAGAATAAAATAACCTCTGCTCACATTTGGAAAAAAAAAAATATTTTTCAGAAGTCAAAAGAATAGATGCAGAATCCTATAATTTCCCTGCCATCCCTGTCTCACAACCTGTCATAGTGTCTTTTTAATTTTTTTTTTTCTTTTTGAGACAGTCTCGCTCTGTCACTCAGACTGGAGTGCAGTGGCGTGATCTTGGCTCACTGCAATCTCCACCTCCTGGGTTCAAGTGATTCTCCCGCCTCAGCCTCCCTAGTAGCTGGAATTACAGGCACACACCATCACACCCAGTTAATTTTTGTATTTTTAGTGGAGATGGGGTTTCACCATGTTGCCAGGCTGGTCTTGATCTCCTGACCTCAAGTGATCCACCCACCTCGGCCTCCCAAAGTGCTGGGATTACAGGGTGAGCCTCCATACCCGGCCTAAAGTGTCTTGAATCCTTATACTCATTAAAAGCCACTGGGGTTTATGTCTCAGTCACATTTGTCACAGCTCTGCAGAGACCACTCTGAAAAATCTGCTGGAATGCATTCATGTTAGTTTTCAGTAAATAAATCATTGTGCCCAAAGATCCAAAACAATGAATTAATTTTAATAAGAAAGCTTAATTTAATAAGAGACTCTCTAGTATTACTCTTCCAAAACAGCGGTTCTCAAAGTGTATTCCCCAGACCCACAGCTTCAGTATCTCCAGAGAACTTGTTAGAAATGCAAATCTTTGGGCCCCATCCCTTTTACCTACTGAATCAGAAACTCCGGGGGATGAGCCCAACACTCTGTTATCACAAGCCCTCCAGGTGACTCTGATGCTTGTTCAAGTTAGAGAATCACTAATCGATGGCCCGGCGCGGTGGCTCATGCCTGTAATCCCAGCACTTTGAGAGGCTGAGGCAGGCGAATCACCTGAGATCAGGAGTTTGAGATCAGCCTGGCCAACATAATGAAACCTCATCTATACTAAAAATACAAAATTGGGATACAAATACAATTTGTATTTGTATTTGCTGTATAAAAATACAAAACTGGGATTATAGGTGTAAGCCACCGTACCTGGCCAATAGCAATATTTACATCTGCATGAACAAAAATACAGAAGAAAAGGGTTCTGTTTATTGACAGTAGGCGTGGCACATCCCCAAAGCAGGGGATTGGGAGGTAAGTGTGCTTACCTGACAGATGCCACTGATACACATGTCCAAGGAGTCCGTGTTGCAACGAGTTCCATCCAGTACCTTAGGTGCCAGCTCCACCACCAAGTTTTGTCCTTGTGCATGACACTTGAGTGCACACGGGGCAGCAGGATCATTATATCGTGGAAGCCATTCATAGTAATGCCCCTGATACTGGACATCATTGTAGGCTGAGCACTGCTGGGCTCTGAAATCTTCTGCATCTGGAGGGCAGTCCTGGGGGCAGAGGGAAAAGGCCACATGCACATCACCCAGTGAGAGAGGCCAAGAGAAGATGAAATAAGTTCACCAGAATCTCATGAGACCACACCTCACTTGCCTCTCTCTGGGAGTCACCTAATTCCCTCTTTTTTTTTTTTTTTTTTGATTCAACGTTGAATGTATGCTATGAAATTCCACAGAGATCACTGCAATAATTATTTATACAGGAGATTATCTCATTATTCTGATCATTCACCCACCCAGGTATTTTTTCCAGATAATTAGAGCCTACAAGACTTAGATGGCAAACTTTGCCCTATTTTAACCATCTTGAATATAAATTTTCAAATGCATTATCTAATCTCCTTCCTTTTAAAACAAGGGAAACCAAATGCTTTCAATTTTTCCAGGTGATTCAAGGATTCAAGGTCTTCATCAAAATTTAATTGTTATCCATGCCTTCAGGAGCCATTTCAATGTGAAGGATTATTAGCCCAAAACTGCTGTGCTCTGTGAGCACTTGTGGTTGTTTCTTTGTCATTGTTTTTTTTTTTTTTTTTTTGAGACGGAGTGTCACTCTGTCGCCAGGCTGGAGTGCAGTGGCTCGGCTCACTGCAACCTCCGCCTCCCAGGTTCAAGCGATTCTCCTGCTTCAGCCCCCCTGAGTAGCTGGGACTACAGGCGCCCGCCACCACGCCCAGCTTATTTTTGTATTTCTAGTAGAGACGGGGTTTCACCACGTTGGCCAGGATGGTCTGGCTCTCCCACCTCATGATCCACCTGTGTCGGCCTCCCAAAGTGCCAGGATTAAAGGCGTGAGCCACAGTGCCCGGCCTGTCGTTGTTTTTAATTCATCTGTCTTTCCTCCCGTCAGGCTCCCTCCCATCTCTTCACTGGTACCAAGTACCTGCCTTCAACTGGCTGTAGGATGGACGGCAGAAAACATAGCTTGTTCAAATTCTGTCTACAACAAAAGCAAATAAATTCTAAGTACATGCCTTCAGTTGCTCTCATAATAAAAAGTGTTTGTACAAATATTGATGACTCATCGGTCTTTTTACTAAATTACTGATTCCGCCCACCAGATATTTCCAAAGCAAGATACTAGTTGAGAAAAGTATTACTTTACTCATCAAAAATCTACTTTTGATATGCAAACTTCATAATTAAAGACAACAGGTAGAAAAAAGCAACATAGCCGCCAGGCGTGGTGGCTCACGTCTGTAATCCCAGCACTTTGGGTGGCTGAGGCGGGCCGATCACCTGAGGTCAGGAGCTCCAGACCAGCCTGGCCAAAATGGTGAAACCCCGTCTCTGTGAAAAATACAAGAATTAGCTGGGTGTGGTGGCGCATGCCTGTAGTCCCAGCTGTTCATGAGGCTGAGGCAGGAGAATTGCTTGAACCTGGGAGGTGGAGGCTGCAGTGAGCCAAGATTGTGCCACTGCACTCCAGCCTGAGTGACAGAGCGAGACTCTGTTGCCAAAAAAACAAAACAAAAAAACCACACCATAAAGTATTTTATTATTTTTTTGTATTATAAAGGTAATAAATATTCATTCTAAAAACTTTGGAAAATAGTTTCTACTCAACAAAAGAATAAATAACATAGATCTTTGTATCTAAATCTTCACACAAATCTTGATTATTTACCAAGGACTTCTTTCTGGAAATAAAATTTCTGAGTCCAAGGTTATGCACATTTTATAGACTATTCAAAATATTGCAAAATTGCCCTCCATTATAATTTTCTAGTTTTTTTTCCAATCAGAAGTATAAAATATAACTTCATTGTTTTCGTTTGCGTTTTCTTTTTGAAATAGAGTCTTGCTTTGTCACCTAGGCTGGACCTCCCAGGTTCAAGTGATTCTCCTGTCTCAGCCTCTCGAGTAGCTGGGATTACAGGTGCCCGCCACCATGCCCAGCTAATTTTTTTGTATTTTTATTAGAGATGGGGTTTCACCATGTTGGCCAGGCTGGTCTCAAACTTCTGACCTCAAGTGATTCACCCACCTCAGCCTCCCAAAGTGTTGGGATTACAGGTGTGAGCCACCGCGCCCAGCTTGCATTTTCTTTTTATTGTTTAATATATTTTCATGTGTATTTGCTTTTTGTATTAATTCTTCAAAAATGTCTTGTTTTATATCCTTTATCCATTGGCATTTTTGTCTTTTTATTATTTTCAGCAGATGAAACTATTAAACTTCATAGTGAAATTATCAACTCTTTGTCATTTCTGTTGGAAATATTTTCCCCATTTCATTTTGGTTTTGGTACTTTGTAAAGTCAAAAAGTTTTACATTTTCATGCAGTCAGCTCTATTAATATTTCCCGTTCAGGTTTCTTTCTTTTTTAATGGGCTTAGAAATGTTTTCCCACTCTGCTCTGAGAACAGATAAATACTTAAATGTATCTTCCTAGTTCCTTTACAGATTAGCAGTCATGTTTAACTATTTGTTATATTTGGAATTTATTTAGATGAATGGTTTAAGTTAGAAATCTAGCTTTTCTTTTTCCACAAATAGATATTGATAAATTATCAGCCAAGATTTTTAAATACAGTTTTCCTCTTTTTGCTACTTCACGTTTGTATTTTATTGTTTACACTTTTGGCCTTTATAAACTTCCTTAAATCCTTTTTGGAAGTAGATAGGGAATAGATAGAATATAATTAACAAACATTCTTCTGAGATTAGTTGTATTATTTTGCTGTGAAACATTCCAAAATCCTATATTGCATCCACATTTTTGTTGTCTTAGCAAAATTAAACCAGGTTACACTCCTAGAAGCAAGTCAAACTGAAGAAGACTAAAACTGGATGACTTTTTCTTTAGTCAGGGTCTTACTCTGTCACCCAGGATGGAGCGCAGTGGCATGATCATGGCTCACTGCAACCTCGACCTCCAGAGCTCAGGTTTTCCTCCCACCTCAGCCTCCCAGGTAGCTGGGGCTACAGGCACGAGCCACTACATCCAGCTAATTTTTTGTAGAGACAGTTTTGCCATGTTGCCCACGCTGGTCTCAAACTCCTGGGCTCAGGCAATCTGCCTGCCTTGGCCTCCCAAAGTGCTGGGATTACAGGCATGAACCACCGTGCCAGGCCAGATGACTTTCCTCTGTTGAAATGAGGACTGTATCCTCCATCTGGCCATAGGAAGGATCATCAGTTACAAAATTACATCACCTCCTCTTCCTCCAGCCACAGCTAGTTTTCTCTATATCTCACTCTTTGAAACCAACCAAAGGAAAGTGTCTAAGAGAGCAGGATGCAAGCAACTTCTTTGCATTAGGCTCAATGGCAAGCATTCTCTAGGGACTGAATGTGCCGGCTAGCTAACTCTCGACTCCCTTAAACATAAACCAATGAAGTTTCACAAAATTAACAAGAGTTAATTAGCGGAAGACACCTTAGGATGTCAGCCTCAGGGTGGCCAGATTTGTACATGTGACCAGCCCCCTTGGCCACAGCTGACTATCCAGAGGCAAACATCTGGTCCACACCAGGTCAATCTTTCCCAGAAATTTGCGATTGCAACAAAAGAGCTGGAGCTAAGAGAGCTAAGAACTCATATCAATCTGGGGTTGGACTGGCCATTTCTTTTATAAGATTCATGTTGAAGCAAAGCAAGCCAGTTCCCACAGCAAAGAAGAATGAATTCGGTAAGAAAGGAGGAGGAAAGACAGTAAACTATGCATTTAAATAGGAATAAGTAACCTGTGTTCCTCATTTTCTGATTTCTGGCTCCAGGCCCTCAAGGCCTGCTTATGCTTAAATTCTCTTAAAAACCCACATATCCATCCAGTGAATCCCCTTTGTCCTGAGCTAATCTAAGTGGACTTCTGTTCTTAGCATATGATGCTATCTGATTAAGGCAGCCTGATATCCGGATCATGCTTTTTAGTTTCCCAGGGGTAATCACTGACATTCTCTTTTTACCACCACCCTTTGAACTAGGTAGGTCAGGATTATTACCCTCACTCTATAAATGGAGAAAACTGTGACCTAGAAAGTTTTTAGCCACTAGTCCAAAGACACACACTAGGATATGACAAAGCCAAGACTGATTCTCAAAGTAACAAGCACTCTATTATAGAATACTGCTTTCTAGTAAATGTGGGGGACGCTGACTGCTTACAATAAATGCTTTCATTCACTTCACATTCTTCCAGTGTCAACGCTAAACTTGCCTAATCTGGCTCAGCTAGGTCCCATGTCCCAGCTCAAGACAAGCTAGGGATTCTTGTGTCTTAAACAGTCTATTTGACATTTAGGGAGCAAAATGCCAAACATTCTTCTGCTTTCCTTTCCCTAAGAAGCATTTTTTTCCTATCAGTTAAGTTGAAGACAACACTTATTTATGAAATATACTTGATGGGCTTTGCCCTAGGTCACGTGCTAGGGAGAACACACAAAAAAAAATATAATCCACCACTGTCATTCAATGAGCTTGTTATCTTATTGGAGATGTAGCTTCTATACGCATGAAACACACTGAACAAGTGTTATCACTGGTATTTGTAGACTTTAAGTAGGAATGCAATGAAGGGCACAGAATTGTTATCCAAGAGTTAAGTTGTACAATTGATTAGATGAAGTTAATAAGAATAGATTCCATATCAGCAAGACTTGACTCTAACCTGATAGAAGTAATAAAAAGGAAGTGTCAGTCAGTGCAGGTAGCCAGTCTGGGAA
The DNA here is from genome assembly GCF_000001405.40 of Homo sapiens. Taxonomy (NCBI): domain Eukaryota; kingdom Metazoa; phylum Chordata; class Mammalia; order Primates; family Hominidae; genus Homo; species Homo sapiens. Next base: position 420,927 of record NW_025791797.1, on the reverse strand, counting down.
GCTCAGAAAAGAAGAAAGAGGAGGAGAAGGATAGGAGGAAGAGAAGAGGATGGAGAGGAGGAGAAGGGAAGAGAAAGGAAGAGGAGGCAGCTGCCACAGCCAACAAATGACAAAAGGCACCCATTTCCCAAACCATCTTGAAAACAAGGTCTCCTTCCCCTCCTAAAACCATGGGGATATGTAAAACCTGGGGGCAACTTATGTATAGAAGCCAGGAATGAAAGATTATCTAATAAACTGAGTACTTTTATGCAAGAGAGACAGGCCATTACCTGAGATTATTTATATAATAGGACTGGACCAAGCTTTCATGTAGATCAGACATTTAGGCAATCCCCCTCCCAATCCCCTCTCCCAATAACCAGCAAGTAGGGACTCAGGAGAAATAATATTGTTGCTACAAGCAAATTTTAAAATTTTATTTTAACTTCATATCCAAGTTGTACTATGAGCTAAATTTTGTGATTCTTTCATATAACAAATGACAACATTTCTAGCATAAAAATAAATTGTTGGTGGCCACTGTAAGCTAGAGTTGGCAAATAAGGAATTGTGGAAAAGTGAAATCTCAGATGGATTTAAAGGATGGTGTGATGTAAACAGGATAAGATTCGGGAAACGACGTAACAAAAGAGAAACAGCAGAAATAAATTCGTTATCCATAAGGAGCAGTGTGCAGCCTTGTCCAGAAAGGGTGGAAGTTGGGAGTTTAAATAAGAGATAAATCTTACCTGAAGATAAGAAGGTCCTTGAATGCAAGTGAGGAGATTTAAAAGCAATAAGGATCCACGGAGGGGACTAAAATATAAAAGATGGCATTTTAGGAACAGTATAATCGCAAGATGGCCTGGAAGTCTGGAGACAGACATGAGAGGGGGTGACTCTTGCCCAGAGTAGGACTAATGACAAGGAAAAGAAAAGAACACCTTCAAGAGAAATACTGAATGGAAAATTGTCAGATTCTAGCCATTCATAGGATCCAGGTATGAGGGATCCCGCAATGGTCACATCAAATGTCCCTTCTGTAAAGTCAAGAAGGAGCCCTGGGAGCCCCGTCTGCAAGTACACCAGGCCTCCCTCTGTGCTCATATAAAAATGTGTTCATGCCACAAAAACATCCTTACCAAATTATGATACACTTATCTTAAAATTATTTTCCCTTTGCCTCTTCCAGCATTGCCTTTAATCCTATAAACCCTGGTATAAAAACATGACTCATCAGTGAATTCAGGTATTAGACCTCCCTGCTGACATGCATGACTTCTCTTAGGAATTCTCCATTTGCTCCAAAATACCCCTGATAAGGATAATTCTTTATCTAGGGCTCAGGGGCCAGTCTCTGGCTATAAAGATATATGCTAAGTGCTGATCAGCAGGTTATGTCTGAAGACAGCAGTCACCCAGGAGCCATGGCACTGTACCCAGGCATGTTCTGTTCCATAATCTTTCAGGCCCAAAGCCCAAATCCCCATCTCCCCTGACAGAGTGAACCTGAGGAGAGCCACTGAACCAAAGTCTGAATTGTCAGGGAGAGTGGTGTGGTCCTCGTGGCCTGGATATGTCTTCCGCTCCTGCCATTTGAGGCATGATCTCCTGCACACCAGGAGTGGAATTTCTTCATCTTCATCTATGTGCTGTGAATGCATGTCCCTATTACAACTAGATTTCATAACAAAAGAACATTTGATCTTTTCTTGAGTGACTGAATTTTTTTTTCTTTAGTGTCTTCTGCTGAGGTGGGTAGAATTCTGAAATGCAACTGTCAGAGTCTGTCCTCGTTAAGTCAGATCCTCCCCTATGCTAGGGATCCACCCCAGGCTGCTGGAGTAGTGGAAAACGAATAGCCATGGAGGATTTCCTTTCTCTGACTCCCTTCAGTTGCGTCTCTTTCAGTTAATTCCCTGCTCTTCCCTGATCTCTGGCCCTTGCCAACTAAGATTATTTAGAAGGTCTGACCTACTGTTCCACAGTTAGATTTTCTACAATGGTATCTGGAAGTATAATGTGTCTCCAAAACCACAGCAATTCTTGTGCTCACGTGTTGCTAAAAGCTACCATGCTTTAGCTACTGCTGTCTGCACCATCATTTTATTATCTGACAAAGGTTACAGCCTTTCCATACTCTTGTACAGTGTAGTAGAGTGGTTAGGTGTGCACTCACCGAAACCTGACTGTCTGAGGTTAAATTCGGTTCTGTGACCTTGGGCAGGTTACTTAAATCTCCTCTGTAAATGTGGAAATAAAAATAGCACGTACTTCTCAGGGTTAGTGTGAGGATTACATTAATTTATACATGAAATGGCACTTAGAATAATGCCTAGCATTCAGGAAGTACTTAATAAGTATGAGCTACTATTATTATTACTATTTCAGTTAAGTGTGAGGAAGTCAACACGTATAGACAACAACCCATGGTCTTAAGGCTGACAGCCTGAGCCTTCAGGCATTCCCATGGAGAAACAGAACTTTTAGCAATCTCTGGAATATGATCCAGTGTTAGATCTCCAAGGCTCACTAACAGAAACACCTCCTTCTCCATACAGCAGACTACTCTGATAGAGACTGAGTTTGGCCATTGATGATGACATCTCTTGGATGGGACTGAAAAGACCCTGCCGTCCCTTAATACAGGGCTTTTACGGTCCTGGAAGTATAGGTGTAGGCATGTTTGAATCAGGGGGCAAGTATCCCTCAAAAGAACTCCTCATCTTAGAATCACTAAAGGCAACTTCCTTCAAAAGAGTGAATGACCATCCCCATTTCCAGGTAAAATGAACTCCACTAACCACTGAACTAGTGTGGCCAGTCTTCAGTAAGGCATTGAATGGCAGTGGGAAGGCAGTGAGAAGTAACAGCAGGGGGATGCTCATCAGAACTTGGTCCTCTCCCACTTGAGGTGGGGTGGGTTGCAGACTGGTCCCCACTCCTGCTATGGTGAGGTGGATATTTTGAGCCCCCAATTAATAAAGCAGGAAGCAGTTCAAGTAATTACATGGAAAAAAAGATACAACCATATTCATACTCCAAGTTCATTGTGGTTACATCCACTTATGGCACTCAACATGTTTGCAATGTTTCTATAGTATATTCAGGAATATACTTGCATAATCTCTCCTGTGCAGGAATGGACTCTTACAGATTATCAACACTGAAGCTGGGGCTGCATTTATGCACCTCTGGTTTGCAACACAGCTTGGGCGTGCACAGCTGCAGATACTGTGGCACGTGGAGACAAAGGGATGCTCTGGACACTTCCACTGCCACAACCTTCCCTTATTTTACAAATAAGGAATTTTGTTGGAAATTCTGAGTTTGCAATGACAAGCATAGCAACTGATGCTATATTCTTATGAAACCTCTCTTAGGACTCTCTAAGGATTCCAACTCTGAGAACTAAAAAGGGCAGCATTTGCTTCTCCACCTCCTTCCTACTCTACCCCAAGCATCTATTTCTTACCAACCTAGAAACATTTCTGCCGCATTCTCCCAGAGGGACCATAAATTAGAGACCACAGGTAACCCCCAAGGCCCAGAGAGCTTCAGGGGCATCATATCTTCACTCGAGTATACCAAAGTCCTAACCATTGCACCTCATGTGCATAATTTTAGCAGATTACATTTTATGTCTGTACTATGTGGCATAATACTCTAACACTTGTGTTGATAATAGGTTCCTTTTTGGAATTAGCTAGAGCAGAGTGATACACACACAGAGAAACTCTAGAATGAGATCCCAAAATGTAACACCTTGATCTGGGGTTTAAAATGAATTGTTTTAAATAGTTTCACAAATTATTGCTGGAAATCATACTGTTTTGAAATTTGTTCTTGAATGACTACAAGGAAATTGTCAGACCAAAGAAAACTTTAGCTATCCCATTGTGTTGGGCAAAATAATGCACCACCTTGGCCCACAAGATGTCCATGACCTAACCCCTGGAACCTGCGACTATGTTATCTTACATGGCAAAAGGATCTTTGCACATATAACTAAAGTTAGAGACCTCGAGACGGAGAAATTATCTAGGATTATCCAGGTGGGAGAACAATGCCCAGCTGTGGTCACAGGAAGATATGACTACAGAAAAATGTTCAGTCTGGGTGCGGTGGCTCATGCCTGTAATCCCAGCACTTTGGGAGGCCGAAGTGGGCGGATCACTTGAGGTCAGGAGTTCAAGACCAGCCTGGCCAATATGGTGAAACCCTGTTTCTACTAAAAATACAAAAATTAGCTGGGCATTCTGGTTAGCATCTGTAATCCCAGCTGCTCAGGAGGCTGAGGCAGGAGAATCGCTTGAACCCGGGAGGCAGAGGTTTCAGTGAGCTGAGATCGTGCCACTGTACCCCAGCCTGGGTGATAGAGTGAGACTCAGTCTCAAAAGAAAAATAAAAGAAAAAGAAAAATGTTCAAACAGATGCAGCATTGCTGGCTTTGAAGACTGAAGAAGGAATCACAAGCCAAGGAATATGGGTGGCCTCTAGAAGCTGGGAAAAAAAGGAAATTAATTTTTCCCTAGGCCTCCAGAATGATGTAGCCCTGCCTATATGTTAGTTTTAGCCCAGTAGGACCTGTGTCAGACTTCGGGCCTTCAGAACCGTAAGATAATACATTTGTCTTGTTTTAAGCCACTATATTTATAGTAATATGTTACCACAACAATAAAAACAACTAATGCACCCATGAAAAAGGTGGTAGAACTCTGAGGTTGCTAATGCACCCACATGCTTGTTTAAAAGGAAGGCTAGACTACGTTGGCACTGACATACTTGCCTTTGTGTTCAGTCTCTCTCTCTCCCTCCTACATGCCCCATCTGGACTTCCAGCATTCACAATGAATGAATGTTAATTCAGCATTCACAAGCAGGTGTGTTGCTCAACATCAAGTGTGATTCAATTCAAATCACCAGAGATGTGAAGCATTTGCATCGTGCTCCAAAATCCCTCTGAGGACTCGGTTGATAAAAATCTGGTTACTTCTGGCTAAGTGATATTTGAGTTTGAGTGCCCCAGTAAATAGGCACCCATTTTTTCCCATTCAAGTTTGGAACCAGTGGAGAGATACAGATAGAAATGTCAGCTTCATCGTTGATAGAAATGGACTGCAAATATGGCTTGAGCTCTCAGTCAAAAGGTGTTGCTAAAGACTGCCAGCTTTCTACTCCCATAGAACTCGGGGGCCTACCCACCAAGAAAAAACTTGATCCACAGATTAGAAACCCTTACCCAGGACTGATGTCTCACACTGGCTTGGGACAGAGAAGGGAGAAAGACAGACAAAGCTCCAGTAATTGATCTTTTAAAATAAATTAGTTACAGCCAATTGAGAAAAGTGGATAAAAATAAATCAATCTCATTTGAAATGAGATCTCCTGATTTTCAGAATTTCCTTTTAATTCCTGTCATTTTGATTTGGGTCTATACCACCAATGAGGGAAATGTTTTTAAAACTTTTAATAAACACATAAAATGTCATGGTTAGTGATTGCCTGGGGCCGACACATAGTCAGTAAAGGAATTTACCAAGACAGTAACGAGTCTGGAAAGGCAGATCTATTTAAAGAAAAGGGGAGATACACTGCCAGTGAGCAATGGGCAATACAGCAGAGGGAAGGCTGTCTGCTGTCTGCAAAGAGGCAGGGACTGCAAGGGAGTTTTTTAGGTTGTGCTACTTGGGCTGAATGTTTGCAGACAGGATGCTTGGTGCAGGTGGGCTGTGATTTGGATGCTTGTAACAGGATGCTTGGGTGCTAGTGAGCCATTTGCAGTTGACCCTATTTCTCAGAACATTTGTTCCTCTCTACCCCCTATTTCTGTTTCTGCCAGCTAAGCCCATTTTTCAGTTTTCTTTCAACTCCTTAGGGCTCCACAAATTGCACATATTTATGGGGTACAACGTGATGTTTCAATACATGTATACATTATATAATGAACAAATTAGGGTCATTAGCATGTTCACCACCTCAAAAATTTATCATTTCTTTGTGGTGGGAACATTCGAGATCCTCTCTTCTGGCTAAATTGAGATATACAATGTCTTGCTGTTTACTATAGCTACTCCACTGTGCAACAGGACACCAAAAATCATCCTTCCTTCCTAGTTGTAACTTTCTTGACTAACCTCTCCCAATCTCTACCTGCCCCCTGTCCTCCCCAGTCTCTGGTAACCACTGGTTTATTGCCTACTTTTAAGATATCAAGTTGTTTTTTTTTTTTTTTTGGATTCCACGTATGAATGAGATTATGTGGTATTTGTCTTTCTGTGCCTGGATTATTTCACTTAACATAATATCCTCTAGATTCATCCATGTCACAAATGACAGCATTTCCTTCTTTTTACGGCTGCATAGTATTTCATTGTGTATATATACCACATTTTCTTTAACCATTCATTCACTGTTGGACATTTAAGTTGATTCCATACCTTGGCTATTGTGAATAGTGCTACAATAAACACGTGAGTGAGGATGTCTCTGTGATATACTGATTTCATTTCCTCTGAATATATAATCAGTAATGGGATTGCTGGATCATATTGTAGTTCTATTTTTTAAATTTTGAGGAACTCCATACTATTTTCCACAAACACTGAACTAATTTACATTCCCACTAATAGCAATAAGGGTTCCCTTTTCTCCACATCCTCAGGAACACTTGTGTCTTTTGTCTTTGTGATAATAATCATTTTAAGTGGAATGAGGTGATATAGTGGTTTTGATTTGTATTTCTCTGATGATTAGTGATGTTAAGCATTTTTTCATACACCTGGGTTGGTATTTATGTTTTCTATTGAGAAATGTCCATTAAGGCCTTTTGCCCATTTTTAAATCAAATTATTTGTTTTGGGTTTCTTTGCTATTGAGTTGTTTGAATTCCTTATATATTCTAAATATTTCCGTGTCCAGCTGTCTAGTTTGCAAATATTTTCTCCCATTCTTCAGGTTATCTCTTTACTCTTGTTTCCTTCGATGTACGTAAGCTTTGTAGTTTAATATAATCCCATTTGTCTATTTTTGCTTTTATTGTCTGTGCTTTTGAGGTCATATTTTAAAAATCCTTACCCAGTCCAACGTCATGAAGCATTTTCTCTGTTTTCTTCTATCAGTTTCTTATTTTCAAGTCTTACATTTAAGTCTTTACTTCATTTTTAGTGGATTTTGTACACGGTGAGAGATAGGGGTCCAGTTTTATTCTTCTGCATATAGATATCCAATTTTCCCAGCACAGTTTATTGAAGACACTGTCCTTTCCCCAGTGTGTATTCTTGGCACCCTTGTGAAAATCAGTTGGCTGTAGGTATGTGGACTTATTTCTGGACTCTCTAATCTGTGCCACTGATCTATGTGTATTTTTTCACCAATGTCATGCTGTTTTAGTTACTATCACTTTGTCATATATTTTGAAGTCAGGTAGTGTGATGCCTCCAGTTTTGTTTTTTGTGTGTTTGTTTGTTTTTAATCAAGATTGCTTTGGGTGTTCAGAGTCTTTTTGTGATTCTATACAAGTTTTAGGATTTCTTTTTTTCTGTGAAGAATGTCACTGGAATTTTAACAGGGATTGTATTAAATCTGTATATCACTTTGGATAGTAAGGACATTTTAACAATATGAATTTTTCCAATCCATGAACACCTCTTTTTGCACCCTCTTTATTTCATTACTGTTTTGATTTATTTATTTATTGAGACAGTCTCGCACTGTCACCTAGGCTGGAGTGCAATGGCACAACCTCAGCTCACTGCAACTCCCACCTCCCGGGTTCGAGTGATTCTCCTGCCTCAGCCTCCCAAGTAGCTGGGATTACGATTGCCCACCACCACACCCAGCTAATTTTTTGTATTTTTAGTAGAGATGGAGTTTCACTATGTTGGCCAGGCTAGTTTTTGAATTCCTGACCTCGTGATCCACCTGCCTCAGCCTCCCAAAGTGCTGGGATTACAGGCGTGAGCCACCATGCCCGGCCATTAATGCTTTATAATTTTTAATGCAAAGATCTTTTACCTTCTTGGTTAAATTTATTCCTGAATATCTTACTTTTTTGTAGCTCTTGTAAATATAGCTATTGTAAATTCAAATGATTTCATTAAATTTTTTATCTGTGTTCTTCTGTATCTCACAAGTTTCCCTAAGATCACTACTTTGAATTCTTTTTCTGGCATTTTGTAAGTTTCCTTTTCTTTGGAGTTTGTTACTCAAGAATTATATTCCTTTGAAGGTGTCATGTTTCTTTGCTTTCTAAAGTTTCTTGTGTATCTACTTTGTTTTGTTTTTTGCTTGCTTGTTTGAGATGGAATCTGGTTCTGTCACCCAGGCTGGAGTGCAGTGGTGTGATCTCAGCTCACTGCAACCTCCACCTCTCAGGTTCAAGCAATTCTCCTGCCTCACCTCCCAAGTAGCTGGGATTACAGGTGAGTGCCACCACACCTGGCTGATTTTTGTATTTTTCGTAGAGACAGAGTTTCACCATGTTGGCCAGGCTTGTCTTAAACTCCTGACTTCAAGTTACCTGCCCACCCCAGCCTCCCAAAGTGCTGGGATTACAGACATGAGCCACCACACCCAGCCTTGTGTATCTACTTTGATATCTGTGCATCTGCTGAATTCGTTTTTGCTTCCAATTTTACAGAGTAGCTTTTATAAGGAAAGACTTTTCCCTAAAGATGTGTCCTAGGGTGTCAGTTGAGTAGTGTGAATTCACATTGGTTCTGGGTGGACACAGTAGTTGGGTCTACACACAGTTTCATCAGCTGTAATCCATGTAGTAATATCTGTGAGTGCTTCAATAGCCTAGGCTGCAGGAGTTTAGGGCAGTAGTGGTGCACCTTTGCCAGAGAAAGGGCCACCAGGCTGGTTCTTAAGCTGGAGGTACATGCACAACTGTGCAGGACCTGTTCCTTGCAGGGAAGGGTGCCATGTGGACTTGGATGCAAGAGTCACCACCATTTCACCAGGCCTAGGGTCTAAATAGCTAGGGTTGTGGTGCTGCAGTCATCTGTGGGATGGAAAGATCAGTGGTTACTGTCCCCTAGAGTACAGCACACTCTAGCAGTGGCTCCAGTTTCAAGGTGGCACTGTGCCATAACAGCCTGGGTCATGGGAGGTGGGCAGTGCACAATGTGAGCTCCTACTGTGAAGCAATGCAGCTGTGGGAACTCCAGGCAGCTCCCCCAAACTGGGCTCAGGGCCTGTGAGGACTGCCGCGTTCTCCTGTAGCAAGGACTACATGTGTCTGCAGTGGTAATAGGGGCTACTAGGGGCTCCCTGCTTACCTTACAGGGGAGATGGAGTAGTAGAGGCAGAGTACTTCGCCCTCCTCCCTATGCTGCCATCTTGAGTTACTGTGTGCCACAGGCATTCTGCTATTCCCTTGCTATATTCCAGTGCTCTCCCTCAGACACTCTAGTCTAATTGTAGTTGTTTATTTGTTGTTTTGGTCTTTTTGTGTATGAAGAGGCAAGTGTCAAGTACCTCTAGTTAGCCTCTTACTGATAACCAGGAAATGTTTTGAATGGAAAATAGAATGGATTCCTTCTGGTGTTTATTTTTTATTTTCAATTTATTTATTTATTTTTTTTTTTTTGAGACAGAGTCTCACTCTGTTGCCCAGGCTGGAGTGCAGTGGCGCGATCTTGGCTCACTGCAAGCTTCACCTCCTGGGTTCAAGCAATTCTCCTTCCTCAGCCTCTAAAGTAGCTGGGACTACAGGCACACATCACCAAGCCCAGCTAAGTTTGTATTTTTAGTAGAGATGGGATTTCACCACATTGGCCAGGTTGGTCTCGAACTTTTAACCTAAAGTGATCTGCCTGCCTTGGCCTCCCAAAGTGCTAGGATTACAGGCATGAGCCAATGCGCCTGGCCTTATTTTCAAATTTCTAAAGCAAGATATTTGAATTTTTATTTTTAGTGTTGACTGATGTAAAATAAGGGTAGGGTTTTGTATATTTCTGTGTGATTTGCTGATGGGTCACCTATAGCATTCCATGACACTGAGGTAGAAATAACAACAGACCAGTTCAAGTAAGTCTACTCTTCCTATGTGACCTTCAAAAAATAATTTTACCTCGGTCAGCCTCAGTCCTCTCACTCGCAAAAGAGAAATAGCTGCACCTCACCTGCCCAGAGACAGTGTGAAGGTCAGGTAAGATAATGAACATAAAAGCATTCTGAACTTTGAAGGAGCTTGCAGATATTATATTGTTTCTATGACTTCAGAAATTATTAAATACTTACCAAATTAGATCATGAATGTGATATGGCCTTAAAAGGTAGTATAAATGGAAGATATTTGATATACAAAATCTGTTGTCAATTAAAGAAATACTTAAGTTTTCCACAAAGGGTATTAAGAGACCATCAGTTTTAGAGTACACATTGGAATATTGTAACTTAAAACAAGCACATATTGTATTGGATAAAATAATTTTATTTTATGACTTACATGATTGCTGCATGTCTTGTACCGAATGTTCTGCCCTTCACAATTCCTAAAGGAAAAAAGAAAGAAGAAAGAAGAAATAATGATTTCATAGAAGAGGCAAGCATTAAAAAAAAAAAAAAAAAGCAAATACAAGGCATTGGTTCCCTGTAAAACTTTTACTAGTGCACATTACCCCAAAGATTCAAAGTTTAATTCTAAGAAACTAATTTTCAAGGATCGGGAGCCAAAAAGTCTTGTGGAAGTGTCACATTAAATAAAGAATGAATTCTTTAGTTAATAGTAGTACTCACATGCAATTCTTACCCAAGGGTCCATATAACCACTACAATTAATGTACAATATGTGTGTGTCTCATGTGTGCATATGTGTATTCTTTTCTATAATGAAAAGGGAAATGCTACATGTAGAAGAATTTGTGTAGCACGTCTCCACTAGGACATTTCTCTTCCCTTACTGAAGCAACTCAAGTTAGCAGGGCACTCACTGTCTTCCTTTAATTAGTACAACAGTCTTTGTTAGAAATTTGCTTGAAGTAATGCTTCCTTTTTTTTTTGAGACAGAGTCTCACTCTGTCGCCCAGGCTGGAGTGCAATGGCTTGATCTCGGCTCACTGCAATCTCCATCTCCCAGGTTCAAGCAATTCTCCAGCCTCAGCCTCCAGAGTAGCTAGGATTGCAGGCGCACACCCCCGTGCCTGGCTAATTTTTGTATTTTTATTAGAGACGGGGTTACACCATGTTGGCTAGGCTGGTTTCACACTCCTGGCCTCAAGCAGTCCACCTGCCCCAGCCTCCCAAAGTGCTGGGATTACAGGCGTGAGCTACTGCAGCCGGTCTATTTTGTTTCAACCACTGACCTTACCAAATGGGATTCTACCAAGTCATGTTGGAACAGTATTTTTGGGATGCTAATACTGGTAAGTTTGAGAATTTTCCAGGGATGACCACCACATAACCTATCTTCCTCTACAGCCACTAGCTCTGCGACCCTGCCACTCATTTTCCAGGCAGAGTTTTCCTTTGGGAGACTGGAATTCCATCCAACGGGTACTCTCCTCAGTCCAGTGCTTGTCTGTCTATATTTTACATAAACTCCTTAAAAATATCTGATCTCTTCATGGCACTTTTCCTAATTTTTCAATGGAGTTACATATTTTTTCCCTTTATGTTTTCCTGGTGAATTCAATGGCAAATTTGGAGCCAGGAAAGCTAAACACAGGCTTAAATAATCATTTTGAATTAAAAGTCAACAGATACTATTTCAATTGTTATTAAAATATTTATTTCTATGGGAATAAAAATAATTTTAAAGTGGATAGGAGGTCATTTTTTTGCCAGTATGATTTAAATATGAGCCTATATGAAATGACTGATAGAGTCAGCAATGTAAAACTCATTGCATATGCTTTCTGATGCTTCCATTTTTCTTGATTACAAAAGGAGTAAGTGGAAACCAGTAATGTGCCAAGAAGTATAGAGGTAGTCACTCAAAATCCTATCACCAATAACTTTATTCTTTTGTCATTTAATCCTCCACTGTTTCTGCCATTTATAGGATTGAAAATCATACTGTTAATTCATCCTAATCTAATATGATAAGCATTTTCTCATTTCAATGATAATTCTTTGGAAAAATTATTTTAATGATTACATCATAGTCCATTATACAAGCATTATTTTGGTAGCTTTAAATTTAAAATTTTAAAAATTGTGACAAAATACACATAACATAAAATTTACCATCCTAACCACTTTTTAGTGTGTGGTTCAGTGTTTAAGTATGTTCACATTGCTATGCCGATATTACCTTTCCTGATTATGTTGCTTCTCCTTTTCCCTACTTAAAAACTGACATATATTAAAATTCTATTTGGGATGTATACAATTTTAAGAGTTTTGACAAACCCATACAATTGTGCAACCACTACCACAACCAATATTTGGAACAGTTCCATCACCCCAAAAATGCTCTCAGGTTGCCCCTGTATAGTCAACCTCTTCCCCCACCCTCAGCTCCTGGCAACCACTGGTTGGTTTTGTCCCTACAATTTGCCATTTCCAAAATGTTATATAAATGGAATCCCAGCATATGTAGCTTTTTGAGACTGACTCTTTTTAGCATAATATACTTGAAAATCATTCTTGTGGTTGCAGGTATCTATAGTTTGCACCTTTTTAATTGCCGGCTGGCATTCTATTGCACATATGTACAACTGTTTGTTTATTCATTCACCAGCTAGATATTTGTTTTTAGTTTTGGGTAAGTATGAAAAAATGCTATAAACATTCACATGCAGGTTTTATGGTAACAAAGTTTTTCATTTCTCTTGGGTAAATACCTAGAAGTGGGATTTCTGAGTCCATTATTTTTATATAATATAAAAATTATTCGGTAAACATCTTTAGGTTTTCATTTTTGTCCATACTTACAATACATATTTAGAAGTATTTTAAAACAAATCCCAGTCCTTTCATAATATGAATTTTTCACGTATGAGTTTTTAACTCTTGGCTGGTTAAGTATTATTTAATTAGTTGGATGCATGGCTGGCTTATGATTAAATCTTTGCATTTCATACAGGAAAGGCAATGCTGCATGATATGATGTTACTTCTTTTTCCTCAAAGCTGTAAACACACTTCATTGACCCTTGATATTGAGACTTGCAGAGGAGAAATCTGATTATTCCTTTGCTTGTGTGTTTTATGTTTCTTCCTGAAAGCTTATAGTACTTTTGTTTTGTTGTGTTAGTACTTGATATAAAAGTTAAGTTATAATCAGGATGTATCCAGTCGTGTGTTTCATCAGTCTTTACTGAAAATGGTGAGCCTTTTTGAATGGAATACTCAAGGTCTTTATTTACAATGCTGCTGATTATTTTCAGATTATGATTTTGATTACTGCTCTTGTGCCATAAATGCCTATAATTCTGAGGCTGGAGCTCCCTCTCTCTGCATCTATTAGTTCTTCATTGGTCCATCTATGATTTCCTCATACATACATATATATATATATATATATATATATATATATATATATATATATTTATATTTATATATTTATATATATAAAATTTCATTGACCTTTTCTTGTGCTTATGAGAAATATTCTACAGATATTCCTCCACACTACAGATTTTAGTTTTCTGTAGTGGTTATTTTGCATTTTATTGTGTCCAGTACATTTTTAATATTAACTTCCACTCTTTTTCCTTTGCAGTTTTTCTCAAACTCTCCCTCCTCCATTTCCATTTCATGCCATCTTCACCTTAAACTTTCTGTTCCAACTGCAACTTGTACCCCTTGTCTCCTCACAGCTTGTGTTTTTGAGGTGGTACAATCCCTAATTAGATTTAGAAGGCTTTGGGAGAAGGACATTTTGGAGTGAAAAGAACAGCATTATAGCTGCCTCCAAAAGCGTTACCTAATTTGTAGTTAAATCGTATTTAGGTAGATGCGCTTTCTTGATTTGTGGTTCAGAACATCTTCCCAGATTATCACAATGGGTTGGCCATGTCTTAATATTTTGTAACACTGCATATTTCTGTTTTTAAAATTTTGTTATAGGTATTTGATTCTTAAATTTATTAAAATCTTGCTAAGAGTACGTCAAATTTTAAACATTCAAGCAGCACCAAACTGGGAGGATGGTAGAAAAAAATGTACTGGTGTGGAGAAGTCTTTCTCTTGGTCAAGGGGAAATGACTCCATTCTACTGGGAAACAACAGCTATGCCTATTGAAAAGGTCATTCACTTACATGGCCTACTTCATTTTGCTTTTTACGTATGAACAAAAGAAGAAAATAAATAATAGGAAAAGTGAAGAAGTAATTGAAATTACTCTCTTATTTTGGAAAAGCCCCAGTTGAGGGAAGTTGCTAACAGATTAGGGAAGTGATAACCAAAAAGCTTTTTGTACCATGCTGACTTGCAGCTGTAAAAAGCTTTTGATGCTAATTTCAAGGGAACAAGCAAATTAGAGAGTCACAGGTTAAAAAAAATATTTGAATTGATGGCAATACTGGAATACAAAACTTGTTGAAACTTAATAAAAATGGCATTTTCTTTAAACATTTTCAGAAATAATTTTTCAGATGCATTTTTAGTAGTTGCTTAATTTTAGCTATTTATATTAAAAACTGTTCTTGTAAAAAGAAACTTAAAACTAAAAGGTAAGAAAAGAATATATCAAAGGTATCTTATGGCTGTGTCTCAGGCCTTCAGTGTAGACCATGTGTAGAGCAATGGTCTACACTCCATTGCCACCTGCTGTGTCCTAATTGTAAGCTGAGTTTCCAGGAGTCACTGATTTGCATCTTGAGTGTTGAGCCTGAAAATATAAACCTAAAAAGTATGTACAACTCTCCTACAAATCCCACTACAATTGCAGCATGGTGATATGAAAAAGAGAGCATTTTATGTCACGAATTTTCAAAACATAATGCACCATTTTGGACTCATTCTTCCTTCAACAATGTCTTATGGTGAACCTACTATGTACCAGGATATGGATATAAAGATTCAGGGAGATTACTTCTCAGTTTCCTTTATAAGTCAGTAGCAACGTTTTTATTTTTAAACCCAACCACCTGGCGACCATTTTTAACATTCTATTTTACTTTGTCCAACCTAATACACAGTAAATCCAGTGACTGGCCTCTATTGATGTGGCTTGCTTTGGTTACAATTTAGTATGAAAATGAAAGACTACTTTATGAAACAGACATAAAATGAAATGCAAGTTATTTTAAAGTTAAGGACATTGGAATCCTAATTCCCCAAGCAGGAACCTGCCAGCTTATTCTGGAATAATTCCTTTGGGCCAAAGCAACTAAGCTGCAGAAATATTACTTACAAGTTTTTAATTTCAGTGTAATTAGTATATGCAAGAGCTAATGGTTATCAGGAGTATTTGAAAATTCAAGAACATCATTTCACAATTATGTATTTTCTATCCATTACAACATTCGTAACACCCTGTATTGAAGAGTTTTGAAGTCATAAATTTATGAATATATAAAAAACATATGTTGATTCCACATGAGGATATATTAAAAACATTAATAAAATTTCCCTGGAGTTCATAGCACTATAATTTATTATATTCATTTGATGATATATTGACTCAAATAATGGTGTCATAAAGCCTGAGAAGTATGTGTTTTGAAGAATAAAAATATATTAATTTTTAAAATAGTAGTTAACTTAAACCTGTGTTTCCCATGATTGGCACTTAACTAGAATATCAAGTTACACACTTCTGCAAGAGAAAGGGACATTCTGGCTGGCATATGGTTTGCAGTGCAAAAGAACTGACTATTTAAAGTAATCAAATTCTGAAATAACTTTATCCACAAGAAATATATGAGGAAAATAGCTACATTTGCTATTTTCCTAAATCATGAATGCCCTAAATCATGAATTTGAAGGAGTACACTGATAAAAAGGGAAGGCACTGAAATGCTTTCTAAAGCTTTGGGATGGCTTTCAGTTTGGTTTTATATGTAATCACCTCCATATTCCTCTTCCAAGAAAAACTGACCACAAGCATTCAATATTTATGAAGACTTAATAAGTCTCTAAGGCAGTTCAAGGATAAAGAGACCTGATAAGCATTCCAAGGGAAGTAGGTTTCCTTCTTAAAAATCTCAGAGTACTTCCAAAATGACAGTGAAAGTTCTTAATATGGGAATGGGTGAGGAATGATTAAGGTTTACAGCTGCCTAAAATGTGGGGAGCAGGAATGAGTGAATTATTAAAGAACCTGCTACCATGCTTCCGAAATAATCTTATTAAAGAACCTGCTACCATGCTTTTGAATTAATCTAATTTCATTATAGCCAAAAAGTGGTGTTATTGTCCTTTTTTTTTGTTTTTTTTTTTTTTTTTTGAGACGGAGTCCCACTCTGTCGCTCAGGCTGGAGTGCAATGGCGCGATCTCAGCTCCCTGCAACCTCTGCCTCCCAGTTTCAAGCGATTCCCCTGCCTCAGCCTCCTGAGTAGCTGGGATTACAGGCATGCACTGACCACGCCTGGCTAATTTTTGTATTTTTAGTAGAGACGGGGTTTCACCATGTTGGTCAGGCTGGTCTTGAACTCCTGACCTCGTGATCCGCCCGCCTCGGCCTCCCAAAGTGCTGGGATTACAGGCGTGAGCCACCACACCCAGCCTGTCCCTGTTTCTTAGACATGGAAAAAGTGGGTGTGCCACAGGCCTGACCCCATGCCAGGAACCAAGCTGGGAGAGCACATGCAATGACATGCACTTGTCTTACTTCTGAAACACCACAGAAACTATTATTCTCTCAATTTATGCACATATATGCACAAATACATATATACACATTTGATTTAGGATGTTTTCTACCCTCAGATACCTGTTTAAATTAGATGAGCTCAGGGAGCAGGCAAATTTGGAGATTCTCAGGCCTACAAGCAAATTTCAGAATGTAGGCTAAGGTTTGTGTAGAAATAGACTAAAGAATGCTATATTAGTCCTAAGAAATGAAAAAGTTAAGCAAATACTACATCAGAAATAGGAGAGGTAACTGAGTACATGGAATCATATTGTGCCAAAAACCTTCTGCAGTTTTTTTTTCTCTGAAAACTGTTTTTGAGAATATCCACGTTAACAGATGTAACTCTAATTCATTCACTTTTAGAGATCTGTAGGAATCCCATTTATAAATATACCAAAATTTATTGATCAATTCTCTTTATTCTTCATTGATCAATTTTCCTAAATGTTGATGAAAATTGTTCCAAATCTTCATTTGGCAGTTGGTTTCAAATTTTAAACTGCACCCACAGTTCTGCAATGAGCAATCTTAAACCACCATGTTAGGCATATTTACGCATTTCTCTGGGATATATACCTGAGCGGGGTTGTTCTCTTCTGGGTGTTTACAGCATCACTATTACCAGATATTGACAAATTGCTCTCTAACATGGACATACCAGTTTTCACCCTCATTACCAGTGCAGGAAGGTTCTTATTTTTATACATCTAGGTCAATATTTGACATTTTAAAACTTTTTTTTCCCAATATGAAGAATGTGAAATATGTCATTTCATATTCTTTTTTTCTTTTTGGGGTAGACAGAGTTTTGCTCTCTCACATAGGCTGGAGTGCAGTGGTGCAATCTTGGCTCACTGCAACCTCCGCCTCCTGGGCTCAAGCGATTCTTGTGTCTCAGCCTTCCGAGTAGCTGGGATTACAGGCATGTGCTACCACACCAGGCTAATTTTTGTATTTTTAGAAATGGGGTTTCGTCTTGCTGGTCTCAAACTCCTGACCGCAAGTGATCCGCGCATCGTGGCCTCCCAAAGTGCTGGGATTACAGGTGTAAGCCACCACACCCAGCCTCATTTCATATGCTTTTTCAGTTTTTTGTCAGTGAAATTATAATTCTCATTTGTTTTTTACTATGCAGATTCACCTTCTATGAATTTCCTGTTCATATTCTTTGCCCACTTTTCTACTAGCCTCTTTTTGCTTCTATTTTATTGGTAAGTAAAAGTTACTTAATATTTCAAATACTAGTCCTTTATTGGTTATATTCATTGTCAAGATTTTATTCCACTCTATGGCTTTTCTTTAGGTTTATATTTTTGTGATACAGATGTGTATTTTTTATTGTGCTTGAATTTATCCGTATTTTCCTTTGTAACTCAAACTTTTTGTATCTTAGTTAGCGAATATTTCACTCTCTAGAAATCACAAAGATATTCTTCTATATTTCTTTCTAAATGTTTCCAGACATTGTTTTTTACAAGTAGAGATTAATGCACTTGGAATTTATTCTTTACATGAATTGATATGTTCTAATGTTTTCCTCTGACTATCGATAATCATATCTGAGCACCATGTATTGACTATCCCTCTTTCCTGCACTGATTTACAGGGCCACTTTCAATATATACCAAACTTCCACATACGCATATATCTGTTTCTGGGCTCTCAATTTTGCCACACTTGCTACTCCCGCCTATGCCACTAGTATAGTTAAAAGAAACATTTTAATTGTCCAGGCAAGTCCCCTATTTTGTTCTTTTTCAAAATTATTTTCATTTCTTTGCACTCCTATATGATACTTAGAATTGAAATTATGCTTATAGATTAACATAGGGGAAAATTGGTATGTTTATGATGTTGAGATTTCCTATATATGAACATATTATAGCTCTCCTTTTATTTAGGTAAGCATCTAAATCTTCCATAAAGGTCTTACACATTTTTTATTGAACTTATTACAACATACCATATATTTTACTAGTACT
Source organism: Homo sapiens (assembly GCF_000001405.40). Lineage (NCBI taxonomy): Eukaryota > Metazoa > Chordata > Mammalia > Primates > Hominidae > Homo > Homo sapiens. The sequence continues at coordinate 402,209 of NW_025791797.1, read as the reverse complement.
GCCTTTTGAAATTTTGCTTTCTATTTAGTTTTTGGTACTGTGTAAGAGCACAGTCATTTGTGCATTAATTTGCTTCCAGCAATCTTTACTGAATTATTTTATTAGTTTTATTATTTTATGTACAAGTACTCTTGGATTTTTCTATCTGCACAATTTAGTAGTCTCTGAATAATGAGAGTTATCCTTCTATTTCATTTTTTTTCTAGCCTTACTACACTGACTAGGACCTCAAATACAATAATGAATACAAGCAATGACAGTGGGCATTCTTATCTCACACCTAATGTTAAGGTGAATGTGGTAACATTTTTACTATCAAGATTATCTACTGTACATTGAGAGTATACCTTTATTCCTAGTTTGCTAATATTTTTCAATTGAGAGTAAGTATTCATTTTATTAACTGCTACTTTTGCATCAATATAGATAACTGTATGGCTTTTCTCTCTTATATCATCAATGTTGTGCCTGCTGGTGCTTACTCCTCGCAAGTATTTCCTTGTGTGTTACATATTTTAGGATTGCAAGTTTGTCATTAGCAGGGCTCTATCGACAGGAATCCTATGCAGCCGGTTGGTGGCCTGACTCTCAAATCTTTCATTGCTGCCATACCTTAAGGATATCACAGGCTACAAGATCAATTTTCATATTAATTTCCCACGTAAATGTTTCCACAATCATATAGGATATATGTATTCAATGTAATATATATAATATGTATAGGCCAATATACATGCACTTCCAAATTTTGAGAGAACAGGTCCACTGTTCCAACGTGGAATTTTTTTTTCATATGGAATTAAGACTAAGATACTTAAATTCCCTATGCTGGTGTGTGGACATTTTCCCCCTAGTCCTTCTGTTAAGTGTCTGGACCTCAAGGGTCTTGCCTTTATCTTAGGGTTGCAGTTCCCATGGTGTGAACTCGCATACACTCAAGACTTGATCTGTGATTATGAAGGAATTAAAACTCAACAGCCTGAGTTTTTGAGATGATCAAATCCCATCTCCATCACTAGGGCAGGCACAGAATCAGTTATGCACTTACTAGTCTGGCATTCAGTTTACTCTTTGCTTTTTGGCCCCATGGATTTCCCTTAATTTCTTGTAGGTTCAACTTTAGTTCTGTTGTTGTTGTTGTTGTTGTTGTTGCTGCTGCTGTTGTTGTTGTTGTTGTTGTTTTAAATGTGTGTCCTATTTTGCCTGGCATTTCTAGTTTTTTAAAATTAAATTAAATCTTCTATTTAAAATAAATGTAGATCGGCTGGGCACGGTGGTTCACACCTGTAATCCCAGCACTTTGGGAGGACAAGGCAGGTGGATCACTTGAGGTCAGGAGTTCGAGACCAGCCTGGCCAGCATGGTGACACGCTGTCTCCACTAAAAATACAAAAAATTAGCCGGGCATGGTGGCGTGCACCTGTAATCCCAGCTACTTGGGAGGCTGAGGTGGGAGAATTGCTTGAATACAGGAGGCAGAGGTTGCAGTGAGCCGAGATTGTGCCGCTGTACTCAAGCCTGGACAACGGAGTGAGACTCCATCTCAAATAATAATAATAATAATTGTAAATCACATGCATTTGTAGGAAAATAATAAAAAGAGACCCCATGGATCCCTCAAAGGTATCATCTTGCAAAACTCTGCTACAAGAATACAACTAGGAGACTGATATTAATACAGGTAATGTACAGAACATTTCTATCATCACAAGAATCCTGCAAGTTGCCTTTTATAGCTGCATCTCCTCCCCCCCACCCTATCCTCTTCCTTAACACCTAGCAACTACTGTTCTCCATTTCTATAATTTCTGTCATTTCAAGAATATTACATAAGTGAAATACAGTATGTAAGCTTTAGAGATTGGATTTTTATAACTTCATTGTAATTTTCTGGAGATTCATCCAGATTGTTGTGTTTATCAATGGTTCATTTCCATTTACGGCTGTGTAGCACTCCCTGGTATGGATGTAACACCATTTGTTTAATGATTCACCCACTAAAGGGCATTGGGATTGTTTCCACCTTTTGGCCACTGTGAGTAAAACTGGCATAAACATTCATGTACAGGTTTTATTGTGAACCTAAGTCTTCATTTATCTGAGAAAAATGCCCAGGAGTGCAATTGCTGAGTTGTATGGTAGTTGCATGTTTATTTTTTTAAAAGAAACTGCCTATTTTCCAGAATGGCTGTATCATTTTACATTCTCAGAACCAATGTATGAGTAACACTCTTCCTCTGCATCCTTGCCAGTATTTCTTGTTGTGAACCTTTTGAAAGCTATTCTGATAGGTAGGTAATGATATCTTATTGCAGTTTTAATTTGCATTTCCTTAATAGCCAGTAGTGTTGAACATACTTTTGTGTGCTTATTTGCCATCTATGTATTCTCTTGGGTAAAATATCCATTCGTGTCCTTTGTTCATTTTCTAATTAGAATGTTTGATTTTTAATTGTTGATATTTGAGAGTTCTTAATAGAGATACTAGTCCTTTGTTAGGTGATTTTCAAATATTTTCTCCCGTTGATCTCATTTGTTTATTCCTCTGCCAATACCACTGCTCTCATTACTGCAGCCATATAGTAAATCTTGATATTAAGTAAGCTGATTCCTCCCACTCTATTCTTTTAAAATATCTTTTAAAAATCAACAGATACATACCCATAATCCCAGCACTTTGGGAGGCTGAGGCAGGCAGATCACTTGAGGTCAGGAATTCAAGACTAGCCTCTCCAACATGGTGAAACCCCATCTCTACCAAAAGTACAAAAATTAGCCAGGCATAGTGGCGCATGCCTGTAATCCCAGCTACTCGGGAGGTAGAGGAAGGAGAATCGCTTGAACCTGGGAGGCGGAGGCTGCAGTGAGCAGAGATCGCACCACTGCACTCCAGCCTGGGCAACAAAGCGAGACTTCATCTCAAACAACAACAACAACAACAACAACAACAACAACACACCAACAGATAAAATTGTATGTATTTATCGTGTACAATATGTGATGTTTTCAAGTATCTATACACTGTGGAATGACTAAATCAAACTAACATATCCATTATCTCACAGTTATTTTTGTGGTGATAATACTTAACATCCGGTCTCAGCAATTTTCAATAATACAATATATTAACTACAATGACACTGTTGCACAATAGTTCTGTTAAACTTATTCCTCTTACCTAACTGAAATTTTGTATCCTTCCACCAACATGTCCTCAACTCCCCTCCTCAACCATCTTAACCCCTAGCAACTGCCTTTTTACTCTCTTTTTCTACGAGATCAACTTTTTTAGCGTCTACATATGAGTGAGATTATGTGGTATTTGCCTTCCTGTGCCTGACTTACGTCACTTAAATACTGTCTTCCATGTTCATCCACATTGTCACAAATAATAGGATTTCCTTCATTTTTCATGGCTGAATAGTATTATATTGTGTATATATACCATTTTCTTTAACCATTCATTCACTGATAGACACTTAGTTGTTTCCACACCTTGGCTATTTTGAAAACACTGCAACAAACATGGAAGTGCAGATATCTCTTTGATATCTTGATTTCATTTCCTTTGGATATATATCCAATAGTGAGACTGCTGGATCATATGATTTTTTTTTTTTTTTTGAGACAGAGTCTCACTCTGTTGCCCAGGCTGGTGTGCATGGTGTGCAGTGGCACAATCTCGACTCACTGCAACCTCTGTCTCCCAGGTTCAAGCGATTCTCCTGCCTCAGCCTCCTGAGTAGCTGGGATTACAGGCATGTGCCACCATGCCTGGCTAATTTTGTATCTTTAGTAGAGACAGGGTTTTGCCATGTTGGCCAGGCTGGTCTCTAACTCCTGACCTCAGTTGCTCCACCCGCCTCAGCCTCCCAAAGTGCTGGGATTACAGGCATAAGCCCAACTGATATCTCTAGTTTTAATATCTTGAGGAACGCTTATACTGTTTTTCATAGTAGCTGTACCAATTTACATTCTCGCCAACAGGGTGCAAGGGTTCCCTTTTCTCTGCATCCTTGCCAATACTTGTTGTCTTTTGTTTTTTTAATAGCCATCCTAACAGGTGTGAGATGATACCTCATTGTGGTTTAGGTTGCATTTCCCTGATAATTACTGATGTTGAGCATTTGTTCATATATCTTTTGGCTTACATCACTTAAATACTGTCTTCCATGTTCATCCTATGTATATCTTTTAAGAAATGTCTATTTGGGTCCTTTGCCCATTTTTTAATCAGGTTATTTTTTTCTTGCTACTGAGTTTGTCATATATTTTGGATATTAACCCCATGGCAGATGCATAGCTTGCAAATACTTTCTCCCATTCTGTAGGTTATCTCTTCTCTCTGTTGATTGTTTCCTTTGTTGTACAGAAGCATTTTGGTTTGATGTAATCCCATTTGTCCATATTTTTCTGGCTTTTGGGGTCATGTGTAAAATAATCATTTCCCAGACAAATGTCATAGAGCTTTTCTTCTGTTTCTTCCGGATGCTAAATTTCTTACATTTTAATTTTTAATCTATTTTTAGTTGATTTTTCTTTTTCTTTTTTTTTTTTGAGACAGAGTCTCACTCTGTCGCCCAGGCTGGAGTGCAGTGGCGCATCTCAGCTCATAGTAAGCTCAGCCTCCTGGGTTCACGCCATTCTCCTGCCTCAGCCTCCCGAGTAGCTGGGACTACAGGCGCCCGCTACCATGCCCGGCAATTTTTTTGTATTCTTTTAGCAGAGATGGGGTTTCACCATGTTAGCCAGGATGGTCTCGATCTCCTGACCTCGTGATCTGCCCGCCTCGGCCTCCCAAAGTGTTGGGATTACAGGCGTGAGCCACTGCGCCTGGCGTTAGTTGATTTTTCTATATGGTATGAAATAATTTCATTCTTCTTCATGTGGATATCTAGTTTTCCCAACACCATTTATTGAAGAGACAATTGTCTTTTCCCTGTGTTCTTGACACCTTTGTAAAAAATCAGTTGGCTGTAAATGTGTGGACTTATTTCAGAGCTCTGTATACTGTTCCATCGGACAACCTGTCTGTTTTTATGCCATTGCCATTGTGTTTTGCTTACTACAGCTTTGTAGCACATTTTGAAGTCAGGTAGTATAACGCCTCCGGATTTGTTCTTTTTGATCAAGATTGCTTAATTTATTTGAGGTCTTTTATGGTTCCATACAAATTTTAAGATTGTTTTTTTCTATTTCTGTGAAGAATGTGACAGATTTTGACAGAGATTACACTGAATCTGTAGATCACTTTGGGTAGTATCAACATTTTAATATTATTTTTTCCAATCTATGAATGTGGAATATTGTTCCATTTATTTGTGTCTTCTTCCATTTCTTTCATCGGTGTTTTACAGTTTTCATTGTAGAGATCTTTCACCTCCTTGGCTAAATGTATTCCTAGGTATTTTATTAGGGTTCCTCTTTCATTAGCACATTGCAGTATTAGGCGTACAAGTCCTATACATGTTCTGTTAGATTTACACCTTAGCATTTAACTTTTCTGAATGATTATTAATGGCACTGTATTTTTAAATTTTGTTATCTATGTGCTCATCACTAGTAAGAGAAATACAATTGATTTCTGTATTTTTATTTTGTATCCAGGACCTTGCCAGACTCACTTGTTAGTTTTAGAAGTTACCTTGTAGATTTCTTGGGATTTTCTACGTAGACAAAAATGTCATCTGCAAATAAAGACAGTTGTATTTTTCTTCTCCTATGGTAAGAGTGGTGAGACAGACAACCCTACCTTATTCTATACCTTAGGGGGAAAGTGTTCAGTCTTTCACCATCAATTATAATATACAATATTAGTTAAAGGTTCTTAAATTTTTTATCAAGCTGATATCTGTTTCTATTTTTCTGAGAGTTCTTCATGAATTGGTGACTTTGTCAAATATTTTTTCTGTATCAATTGATAAGATCCTATACATTTTTTCTTCCTTAGTCTATTAATTAGCTAGATTACATTGATTGACTTTCAAATACTGAAACAGCCTTACATTCCTCTAATAAACCCCATTTGGTTATGGTCTATAATTCCTTTTATATCTTTCTTAATACTTTTGACAGGATTGTATTAATAATTTTTACTTCTATATTCATGAGATATATTGGTTTGTTGTTTTCTTCTTTATATAGTCTTTGTATGGTTTGGTATCAAAGTCATACTAGATCCATAAAATGAATTGGAAAGTATTCCTTCTCTTCTGTTTTCTGGAAGAAATTATATGGAATTGTTGTAAATTCTCCTTTAAATGCTTGGTAGAATTTGCCAGTGAAACCATCTAGGCCTTAAGATTGAGGAGAGAGAGTTTTTATACTATAAATTCAATTTTCTGTAATAATTATGGTGTTATTTAAATTACTTATTTCATATTAAGGATATCTTTTGATTTCTCAGCCCCAGAAAAAGGTAAATCCTAAGATGGCAGTGGGGAATTCCTAGAAGCAACTCAATTAGCTCTGCAGAACTCACAAAAGACTTCAGAAGTGGTAAATCAGATACTTTTGAAAGCAGGATAAAGTTGGGGTCAAAACAGTATGACTGATTGAAAGTCTGTTTAAAAAGAGATTAAATTTCCAGCTGACCTCCCTTACTTTGGCATGACTGTATGTTATTATCTAAAGAGGGTAAAACAGTAATTTTCTGGACCAAGAGATAACTGGGTACAACTAAGGGCAAGAGTACTATACTGAAAACAGGGATTAAATACAAATTAATGTATTTAATGCTGAGATCCCAGCTTTCTGCCTCACTTGGTTCCTAAAATATTGGACTCAGAAGGGCCTTCACTGGGAAATCAAAGCATTTCAAAATAGAACACCTAAAGACATCATCAGGCAATGAGATGTACTGGCCACATCTCCCTCCAGTTAAGCTCATAGCTCCTTTCCTTAAACTTGAATAAACAAACAAGGATCACCAGAAATCTCAGAAAGACCTCTAACCTTAAATACAGTGACAAAAAAAAAATTTAAAAGAAAACAGCAATTTGGGAGGAACTGAGACTATGCAAGGTGAAAAAAATTTTCCTCCCAAATGTCTATTCATACTCTCAGAGATGAAACAGAAGATACTGCATCTGGGAATCAGGGACAGAATTCTATTCCTAAAAATTCAAGGAACAAAAAATAACTCAGGAAAAAATATATGTATAGAAAGAGATAAAATACTTAGTAAAGAGAGTGAAAAAATAAATTTAGATAAATCTCCTGGAAGGCAGGGCAAATGAACAAAGAGAAAACTGGAAGATCTAATATCTGAATAATGGGAGTTTCAACAAGAAAACAGAGGAACACGGCTGGGTGTGGTGGCTCATGCCTGTAATCCCAACACTTTGGGAGGCTGAGGCTGGCAGATCACCTGAGGTCAGGAGTTTGAGACCAACCTGGCCAACATGGTGAAACCCCATCTCTACTAAAAAATACAAAAATTAGCCAGGCATGGTGGCACGTGCCTGTAGTCACAGCTACTTGGCTGGCTGAGGCAGGAGAGTTGCTTCAACCCAGGAGGCGGAGGCTGCAGTGAGCCAAGATCAAGCCACTGCACTCCAGCGTGGGTGACAAGAGCAAGACTCTGTCTCAAAAAAACAAAAAGAAAAAAAGAAAAGAAAATAGAGGAAAATGAATAGAAGAAATCATCAAGGAAATATTTCAGGACTGAAGAGAATGAGTTTTTATAGTGAAGGACTCTCTGAGTGTCCAATACAACAAATGAACATAGACCCACACCAAGGCATAACGTTAGGAAATTTCAGAACACTGGGGGAAAATGTATGTTTCTACATGCATCCAGAGAGGAGGAAAAAAGAGCAGGCAATCCAGATGCCTTTAGATTTCTCAGTAACATTACTTGATGTTAGAATATGGAGCAAAGCCTTCAAATTTCTGAGGGAAAATCATTTCTACATAACTATATATATGGAAAAATCATCATTCAAGTTTGAGAAGAAAATAAAGATCTTTTCAGATAAGCAGGAAGCTTCTGGAGAATGTATCCATAAAAATGAGGAGGAAAAAGGAAGGTGATTAGGAAACAGGAGATCTAACACAGGAAAGAAGTAAATGACCCTCCCAGGATGACAGAAAAATGAGATTCCAAGATGCCTCCTGAATTTCTTGTTAGACAGCAAGTAGCTCAGCTAAAGGTTAAGAATTCTCCAGAAGAAGGGTCTAAAAGAAAATTAAAGTGAATGAAAATTAGAAAAGTGAATGAAATTAGTGAAGTGAAAATTAGAATGATGACATTTTTCTGAATTAGTGATAAGCATGTAAAAACTAAGAAAACAAGCAAATAAAAAAGCAAGGTAATTATTGACTCTAGTGGAAAAAAAACTCAGGAAAGGGAAAATAATTGCTGTATATTACATGACATAGCTGTGAATAGTATAGAGGCATAATTTAATAACATGTCTTTATAATAATAATATACCTTCATAATAGTTTAATGAAGGCATTAATAATAATATGCCTTCATAATAATTTAAAAACTGCATATTGGCCCAGTCAAAGTTATATAAAACTCTGGGGTATGGGACTGGAAGACAGACTGGAGGGAGAGGTTGAGAAAGGAGAAAGAGGAGGGGGAGGGGGAGAGAGAAAGGAAGAGAAAGGAGCAGGAGGTGTGAAAAATTGTTAAATCTTCATCTATAGTATGACTCTAATGCGTAGTGCCTACAACTGAAAGATCAAGAAGCAGCAATATAAACATGTTATTTAGAAATGTGGATAAAACACCAAGAGAATCAGATAGAATTGTTAACAGTAGTTGCCCCTGGTGGGTGAGGAAATGGGAGGAAGGGAATCAAGAGGCTGTTGTTTTTCACCTCAAGCCTACATGAGTCATTTGGCTCTTTAAACTATATACATGTACATTGTTGAAAAAAATGATGTTTTTAAATATTTGTTAAAAGTCCATACTCCCCAACATAGTTTTCAATATTCTTCATAGAATTACCCATCCTTACCTATCCCACAGACCCATACTATAGTCATGGAGTTTTTTTATCAACCCAGAAATACATTACTTCATTTCTCTATTAATTTATGGAATAAAATGTATTAAATTTATACCATACATCAATAATCATGTGGGCACAGCATAAAGAGATGAATTACACCATCTATGCCACCTAAAATTTTGTCTCAATTGTGGAAACAGAAAAATAAAACAATACAGCGGAATAAACACTCTCACAACGGTATTCATGAGATCCTACGGAAACACTAGAAGAGTCGCCCCTGTCCTAGTAAAGAGTGAGAATTGCCAATGAATGCAAAAGGAAGAAATGAGGACTCAAAAGGCATTTTTATGATCAACCATGTGTCAACCAGAACAAGGAGAAAAGGATGATTTAGGCGGAAAGAAGAGCATTGGCAAAAGATGCAAGGCGATAGTGAGCACACACTCATTTATTTACTCCTTCAATAAATGCTATTTGGGTCCTCATCACATGTAAGAAACTATGTCAGATCTCGGAATGATGAAGTCATTATCCCTTCTCAAAAACAGGTCCTAATTTGCCAACAATTTTAGTACTATAATGGATGCAAGTACTATATTCCATTTAGTACTATATTCCATTTAGTACTATAATGGAAGCACAACACAGGAAGACCAAAGTTTAACCAGTCAAGATAGGCTTCCTAAAAGAGCATGACCTTGAAGAATAAGTAAGAATTAGCCAGATATCACACTAAAAATAGACAAAAAAATACAGGATAAGACGCAGGTGGTTAAAACAACAGACACATAAAAGCGGCAGGTTTGAAGCGAAGGAAAGAATATTAGGTAATAAATAATGCCATAGCAGTATTTAAAACGTCACTAGGTTGGGTACAAAAACATAGTTCAATAGAATGAATAAGATCTAGTATTTGATTGCACAATAGGGTGATTACAGTCAACAACCATTTATTGTACATTTTAAAATACCTAAAAGAGTATAATTAGAATGTATATAACACAAAGAAATGATAAATCCTTAAAGGGACGAATACCCCATTTACTTTGCTGTGATTATTATGCATTGTATTACTGCATCAAAATATCTCACATAAATATATACACCTATGTACCCATAAAAATAAACAAAGAACTCCACTAGAAGTTAACAGATCAGAAAAAAAGTTCAAACCAGGCGTGGTGGCTAACGCTTGTAATCCCAACACTTTGGAAGTCTGAGGACTGTGGATCACTTGAGGTCAGGAATTTGAGACCAGCCTGGTCAACATGGTGAAACTCCATCTCTGCTAAAAACACAAAAATTAGGTGGATGTGGTGGTGCACACCTGTAATCCCAGCACTCTGGGAGGCTGAGGCGGGCAGATCACTTGAGGTCAGGAGTTTGAGACCAACCTGGCCAACATGGTGAAACCCCATCTCTACTAAAAACAAAAATCAGCCAGGTGTGGTGGCACACGTCTGTAACTGCAGTTACGTGGGAGGCTGAGGCAGAAGAATCACTTGAATCTAGGAGGCAGAGGTTGCAGTGAGCTGAGATCGCACCACTGTACTCAAGCCTGGGTGACAGAGTGAGACTGTCTCAAAAAAAGAAAAAAAGTTCATATGACAGCTTGAAAATCACCCCTACGTGCACAGAAAAAGAAAAAAAAAAGAGGAAAGTAATTAAAGAGAACATGATAAATGTGAAAGACAGACAGAAATTACTGGTATTCATGAAGAAAAAGCCAAAACAAATGGGTAAGAACCAACAGTGAATAATATAATAGAAGAAAAATCTTCCTACCATAGAGAAGGATCTAAATCTGTACCAAAAAGTTGGTCACCATGTGCCAGGGTAAAATAAATATTATGACACTGACAGCTAGACATGGCCTTGTAAAACTCTTGAACTTAAGGGAAAAAATAAAGACTCCTATGGGCAGACAGGTTATCTAAAAAATAGGTTATCTACAAAAAAACCAGCTGGCCTGGGAGGTCTATAAGCAACACCGTACACCAAGCTTTATGGGAAAGGAACTACCAAGTCTTAAAAGGAAAAGGTTGTATCTTAGGAATTTTATACTCAAATAAGCCATTCACTGTTTATGTGTGAAAGCAAGAAAAAGTCATTTTCAGATATATAAGAACTCATAAAGTATAAGACCTACAACTTTTTCCTGAAATTAAAAAGTCTATAAAATTTTGCTGCTTGAAGTGTGGTCCATGGACAGGCAGCACTGACATCACCTGGGAATCTGTTAGAAATGAAAGCTCTTGGGCCTCATTCCAGATCTACTGAATCAAAGTTTGTATTTTAACAAGATGCCTAGGTGATTCATATGCACACTAAAATTCCAGAAGCACAGCTCAAAATGTATCTCTGCCAACAAAGCTATCATTCAACCTGAAGAACTGAATGCTCAAAGGAAGAAATGGGGACTCAAAGCAGCAATTGACAATCAGCATTGAAATAATGCTGCTTGTGTGCACACACACACAATTAAGATAGACAATGAGTGTTGAAATAATGTATACACACACACAATTAAGTTTCAACCATGCTTTGACTACCATGAAAGAAAAGATATAAAGAAAAAAACTGCCAATAAACTGAAGATAAAATCCCAAATTCTAATAATAAACTCAAGAAATGGGAATAAAGAAAAAAAAGCCTAAGTAATCATCATTTTACATAAGGAGAAATCAAAAGAAATTACTAATGACAGAGATAGTTATAAAATAATTATTAAAATGTGGTTTTTAAGTATATATTTAATATCAGTAAAATAAAAACAAGATATGTGTATAATTTCCAAATTAGCAGAGGTAAAATTTCAGGGAAAAATTTAAGGAAAATGGAGAGAGGAGGAAAGATTTTAAATAGAGATTGTAATCTGAGCGTATATATTGAACTTCCCCCTTACAAATTCCCATTGAAATGATAGTATGTTAATAAGTGAATAACTCTGTATCGTACCTGGAAATTCACAGAAGTTATACACAAGGCAGAAACTTTAGGTGATTATTGCTATACATAGGGTAAGCAAGACTGAATTAAAAGAGAGTACATAAACTATTCACTGTACATAAAGGAGAAGTCTGCCTTTGAAGTAAAGAAGAGATCCACAGGAGAATCCACAAATTCCCACTACATTAGAGTGGCAGATGATATAGCCAATTCCTGCCAATCAGTGGCATAGGGGCAGTTAGTCTAAGACAAAAGTGTAAGGGCACATAAGGTCTCACTCAATGAGGGTCCCTGTAAAACACTCAGTGCCTACGTGGGACAGGGTATTCTGGAGAGATGAAATAAAATGCAGACACTCCAGAAACTATCTCCAAATGAAGGAAAGCCACAAAATAATAAAAAACGAGATTCACTGACACAAAGGCAATGTTTTTTCTTGTGAATGCCTTCAACTGCAGCTTCCTATTCAGTCCCCATAATAACATAAAGCTGCAATAGGTCTAAAGCAGCAACTCTTTAGGCAGAAGAAGGGTATTTTTCCCACAGGCAGCCATAACTGAATTTGCAAGGGACTTGATCAAACTTTGACTCTAATCCAGATCCCTGATATTTGAAGTAAAGGAATGTGGAGACACACACACACACACACACACACACACAGAGTATATATGCAGATACTTTTAAAATTTGCTCTTCCTTTTTTTTTAACTTCTTAAATGGCAGCTTGCACCACTTTTTTTTTTCAACCAATTTTTCTTTTCTAATATGTGTATTCAGGGCTATTAAACTTCCGTATATGGGTGAATTTAGATGTATCCCCATGTTTTAATATATTTTCATGATTCCTCTATTTCTGCTAATGCTTCTTCCTTTAAATTCTACTTTGTCTGATATTAGTATAGGTATACCAATTTTCTTTTCATTTTGGTTCACATTATAGCTTTTTTCCATGCTTTTATTTTCAGTCTTTCGGTATCCTTGTATTTAAGGTTTGACTCTAGTAAACCACATAAATTTTGTTTTATAGCCTAACAATCTTTTGTCTTTTAACCAAAGTAATTAGTCCATTTACATCTAATGTAAAATATATATATTCTGGGGTTCAAATCTACTGTTTTAGAATTTGTCACAATTGCACTATGTTCTTTTTTCTCTCCTTTCTTGAACCCTTTTGGATCAATCAAGTATTTTAGCATGATTCTATTTGCCCTTGTGATATCTGAATAGTTATACATTGTTTTATTTTGCTTTTAATGGTAACCTTAGAAATTGAACGTGCATCCCAGACTTTTAAAAGTTGAAGGTAAATTGTCTATTTTACATTTTTCTGAACAATTCAAGGACATTTGAACACTTTAAATTAATTTTACTCTCTTCTGAATTTTATATTATTGTTTCTATGTTTTTAAAGTTCTACATACATTTAAACTCCAGAAAACATATTGCGCTAAACAGTATATATATATAATATATACGTATATATGTATATATAATATATATGTGTATATATAATATGTATATATATAATATATGTATATATAATATATATGTGTGTATATATACATATAATATATATATATATATACGCTATCCATTGCTCTTTCTTTTATAATTTAACCTTTATTTTAAGTTCAGAGGTACATGTGCAGGCTTGTTATATAGGTAAACTTTTCCCATGGGGGTTTGTTGGACAGATTATTTTGTCACCCAAGTATTAAGTCTAGTACTCATTAGTTATTTTTCCTGATCCTCTACCTCCTCTCACCTTCCACCCTCCAATATGTCCCAGTGAATGTTGTTCCCCTGTATGTGTCCATGTGTTCTCATAGTTTAGCTTCCACTTTTAAGTGATGACATGTGGTATTTGGTTTTCTGTTCCTGCATTGGTTTGCTAAAGATAATGGCCTCCAGCTTCATCCATGTTCCTGCACAAGACATGATCTCATTTTTTTATGGCTGCATAGTATTCCAGGGCATATGTACCACATTTTCTTTATCCAGTTTACAATTTGTTTTTTGAGGAGGAGGAGTCTCACTCTGTCACCAAGGCTGGAATACAGTGACATGATCTCTACTCACTGCAACATCCACCTCCCATGTTCAAGAGATTCTCCTGCTTGAGCCTCCTGAGTAGCTGGAATTACAGGCACCCGTCACCATGCCCGGCTAATTTTTGTATTTTTAGTAGAGATGTGGTTTCACCATGTTTGCCGGGCTGGTCTGGAACTCCTGACCTCAAGTGATCCACCCACCTCAGCCTCCCAAAGTGCTGGGATTACAGGCATGAGCCAGCACACCTGACCCCAGTCTTTAAGTGATGGGAATTTAGGTTGATTCCATGTCTTTGCTATTGTGAATAGTGCTGCAGTGAACACATACATGCAAGTGTCTTTATAATTAAATGATTTATATTACTTTGCATATATACCCAGTAATGGGATTTTTGGGTCTAACGGTTATTTCTGTTTTTAGGTCTCTGAGCAGTCACTACACTGTCTTCCACAAAGGTTGAACTAATTTACACTCCCACCAACAGCGTATAAATGTTCCCTTTTCTCCACAATCTCACCAGCATCTGTTACTTATTGACTTTTTAGTAACAGCCAGTCTGAATGGTGTGACATGTTATCGCATTGTGGTTTTGATTTTTATTTCTCTAATGATCAATTATGAGCTTTTTTCTCGTATGACTTTTGGCCACGTCTTCTCTTGAAAAATGTCTGTTCATGTCCTTTGCCCACTTTTTAATGGAGTTGTTTGTTTTTTTCTTGTAAATTTAAGTTCCTTTGTCAGATACATAGTTTGCAAAATTTTTCTCCCATTCTATAGGCTGTCTGTTCACTCTATTGATAGTTTCCTTTGCTATGCAGAAACTTACTAGTTTAATTAGATGTCATTTTTCAATTTTTGCTTTTATTGCAACTGCTTTTGGTGTCTTCCTCATGTAATCTTTGCCCATTCCAATGTCCATAATGGTATCGTCTTCCAGGGTTTGTATAGTATTGGGTTTTACATTTAAGTATTTAATCCATCTTGAGTTAATTTTTGTATATGATGTATAGAATTGATCCAGTTTCAATCTTCTGCATATGACTACCCATTTATCCCAGCACCAATTATTGAATAGGAAATCCTTTCTCCATTGCTTGTTTTTTTGTCAGGTTTGTCAAGATCAGAAGTTGTAGGTGTGTGGCCTTATTTCTAGGTTTTCTATTTTGTTCCATTAGTCTATGTGTCCATCTTTGCACCAGTATCATGATGTTTTGATTACTGTAGCCCTGAAGTATAGCTGTAAGTCAGGCGGCATGATGCCTCCAGCTTTGTTCTTTTTGTTTAGGACTGCCTTGGCTATTCAGGCTGTTTTTTGGTTCCATATGGATGTTAAAATAGTTTTTTTTTTCTAGTTCTGTAAATAATTTCAATGTTACTTGAATAGAAATAGCATTGAATCTATAAATTGCTTTGGGCAGTATGGCCATTTTAACAATATTGATTCTTTCTATCCATGAGCATAGGATGTTGTTCCATTTGCTTGTGTCATCTCTGATTTCTTCAAGTGGTGTTTTGTAGTTATCCTTGTAGAAATATTCTACCTCCCTGGTTAGCTGTATTCCTAGGTATTTTATTTTGTGTGTATGACAACTGTCAATGGGATTGTGTTCCTGATTTGGCTCCTGGCTTGACTGTTGGTGTATAAGAATGTTAATGATTTTTGCACATTGATTTTGTATCCTGAGACTTTGCTGAAGTTATCAGCTTAGGGAGCCTTTGGCCTGAGACTATGGGGTTTTCCAGATATAGGATATGTCATCTGCCAACAGGGATAGTTTAACTTCTTCTCTTCCTATTTAAATGATCTTTATTTCTTTCTCTTGTCTGATTGCCTCATCCAAAATTTCCAGCACTATGTTGAATAGGAGTAGTGAGAGAGGGCATCTTTGTCTTGTGCTGGTATTCAAGGGGAATGCTTCCAGCTTTCACCCACTTGGTATGATGTTGACTGTGGGTTTGTCATAGATGGCTCTTATTATTTTGATGTATATTCCTTGAATACCTACTTTATTGAGAAGTTTGTTTTTTTTTTTTTTTAATGGAGTTTCACTCTTGTCGCCCAGGCTGCAGTGCAATGGCAGGATCTTGGCTCACTGCAACCTCTGCCTCCTGGATTCAAGTGATTCTCCTGCCTCAGCCTCCCAAGTAGCTGGCATTACAGGTGCCCGCCACCATGCCCAGCTAATTTTTGTATTTTTAATAGAGACAGGGTTTCACCATGTTGGTCAGGCTGGTCTTGAATTCCTGACCTCAGGGGATCCACCCGCCTCAGCCTCCCAAAGCTCTAGGATTACAGGCGTGAGCCACTACACCCGGCTCATTGATCTTTCGAATGGTTTTTTTGTCTCTCAATCTCCTTCAGTTCAGCTCTGATTTATTTCTTGTCTCTGCTAGCTTTGGGATTGGTTTGCTCTTGGTTCTCTAGTTCTTTTAGTTGTGATGTTATGTTGTTAAATTGAGATCTTTCTAACTTTTTGATGTGGGCATTTAGTGCTACAAATTTCCCTCTTAACATTGCCTTAGCTGTGTCCCAGAAATTCTGGCATGTTGTATCTTTGTTCTCATTAGTTTCAAATAACTTCTTGATTTCTGCCCTAAATTCATTATTTACCCCAAAGTCATTCAGAAGCAAGTTATTCAATTTCCATGTGATTGTATGGTTTTAAGTGATTTTTTTAGTCTTGTTTTCTAATTTGATTGTGCTGTGGTCTGAGAGATTGTTTTTCCTTTTTTTTTTTTTTTTTTTTTGAGATGGAGTCTTGCTCTGTTGCCCAGGCTGGAGTGCAGTGTTGCGATCTCGGCTCACTGCAAGCTCTGCCTCCCAGGTTCACACCATTCTCCTGCCTCAGCCTCCAGAGTAGCTGGGACTACAGGCACCTGCCACCACGCCCGGCTAATTTTTTGTATTTTTAGTAGAGACGGGGTTTCATTGTGTTAGCCAGGATGGTCTCGATCTCCTGACCTTGTGATCCTCCCACCTCGGCCTCCCAAAGTGCTGGGATTACAGGCATGAGCCACTGCACCCAGCCGAGATTGTTTTTTATGATTTCAGTTCTTTTGCCTTTGCTGAGGAGTGTTTTACTTTCAATTGTGTGATCAATTTTAGAGTAAGTGCCATGTGGTGATGAGAAGAATGTATATTCTGTTGTTTTGGGGTAGAGAGTTCTGTAGATGTCTATCAGGTTCATTTGATCCAGTGCTGAGTTCAGGTCCTGAATATCTTTGTTAATTTTCTGTCTTGATGATCTGTCTAGTATTGTCAGTGGGGTGTTAAAGTCTTTTATTATTACTGTGAGGGAGTCTAAATCTCTTTGAAGGTCTCTAAGAATTTGCTTTATGAATTTGGGTGCTGCTGTGTTGGGTGCATATATATTTAGGATAGTTCGGTCTTCTTGTGAATTGAACCCTTTACCATTAAGTAATACCCTTCGTCTTTTTAAATTTTTCTGGTTTAAAGTCTGTTTTGTGTGAAACCAGGATTGCAACCTCTGCTTTTTTTCTGTTTTCCATTTTTTTGGTAGATTTTTCTCCATCCCTTTATTTGAGCCTATGTGTGTCACTGCATGTGAGATGGGTCTCTTGAAGACAAGCATACCAATGGGTCTTGGTTCTTTATCCAGCTTGCTACTCTGTGTCTTTTAATTGGGGCATTTAGCCCACTTACATTCAAGGTTAGTATTGATATGTACGGATTTGATCCTGTCATTATGATGTTAGCTGGTTATTTTGCAGACTTGTTTATGTGGTTGCTTTATAGTGTCACTGGTCTGTATTCTTCAGTATGTTTTTGTAGTGGCTGGTAATGGTCTTTCCTTTCCATATTTAGTGCTTCCTTCAGGAGCTCTTATAAGGCAGATCTGATGGTAATAAATTATCTCAGCATTTGCTTGTCTAAAAAGGATCATATTCATCATTCACTTATGAAGCTTAATTTGGCTGGATATGAAATTCTGGGTTGGAATTTATTTTAAGAATGTTGAATACTGGCCCAGAATCTCTTCTTGCTTGTAAGGTTTCAGCTGAGAAGTCTGCTGTTAGTCAATGGACTTCCCTTTGTAGGTGACCTGACCTTTCTCTCTGTCTTTAACATTTTTTCTCATTTCAGCCTTGGAGGATCTAATGGCTATGTCTCTTGGGATGATCTTCTTGGGAAGTATTTTACTGGGGTTCTCTGCATTTCCTGAATTTGAATGTTGGCCTGTCTAGCTAGTTGGGTTCATCCATGAAGTTCTCATGGATGATATCCTGAAACATGTTTTCCAAGTTGGTTCCATTATCCCCCTCTTTTTCAGGGACACCAGTAAGTCATGGATTTGGTCTCTTTACATAATCTCATATTTCTCAAAGGTTTTGTTCATTCCTTTCATTCTTTTTTCTCTATTCTTGTCTGACTGTCTTATTTCAGAAAGCCAGTCTTCAAGCTCTTAGATTCTTTCCTCCACTTGGTCTATTCTGCTATTAATACTTGTGATTGCATTACGAAATTCTTGTATGGTGTTTTTCAGCTCTCTCAGTTCAGTTACACACTCCTATACTAGTTATTTGGTCTGCCAGTTCCAGTATTGTTTTATAATGGTTTTTAGCTTCCTTGGACTGGGTTTCAACATACTGCTATAGCTCAAGGATCTTCATTTCTGTCCATATTCTGAACTCTGTTTCTGTCACTTCATCCATCTCAACCTGGTTCAGAACACTTGCTGGAGAGGCAAGGTGGTCATCTGTTGGAAAGAAGGTGCTCTGGCTTTTTGAGTTGTTAGGGTTCTTGTGCTGATTCTTTCTCATCTTTGTGGGCTTATCTTCCTTTAATCCTCGAGGTTGCTGACTTTTTGCATAATTTTGTTTCTTTTATCCTATTTTTTTAATGACCTTGAGGGCTTGATTCTAGTATAAGGTGGATTCAGCCAACTGGCTTCATTTATGAAAGATTTTAGGGGGCCAACACTCAGCTCCCAATACCTGGACTGGATGTTCTAATTCTGGGGTACTTGTATTGGGCCCCAACTTTGTTCTCTGGCTCCTTGATGTTAGGAATCCACTGCACTGCAGGGGCCAAAATGTTTTTGGACTGCCGGTCATTACACTCTGATGGCTGATGTCAGCCAAAGCATTTCACAGCTTGATGACAGTGGGATCCATACTCATTTGCACATATCAGCAGCAGTGGTAGTGGCAGCTACGGTGGAGTGCTACCAGGTGCCGGGGGTCCTGCCTCTCTGTAGGCATTCACCACAATGGCAGAGGCAGTGCAGCTAGGGGTGGGCAGGAGGCCCCTGTTGGTGACTGTGTGTTCAGTCATGCTGGAGGTGGTGTTGGCTCAGGGGCGGGGCACTGGCAGATGCAGGTCTGAGTGCCTTCTGTGTGCCCCACAAGTAGGAGTGGTTGCTCAGGGTGGGGTAGGATCCACTGTTCTCTGCACAGTGTTAGCCCAGGGTGGGATGCTGGCTGACTCTGTGCCCACCAAGGCTCTGTCTGCAGTGGCAGTCAGCAGGGGACTGCCATTCTGCTCACTCTCATCTAATTGTTCTGCAGGCATAAAAGGCTGTTTTCATTTCCTGCTTCAGGATACTTACATATGCTGCTCCCACTATCTGAACTTTTTTGGTCTCATAACCCTTCCCATCACATAACTGATTTCTTCTTAGCAGTAATATCTCAGCATAAACATGCCCCAGCACAGAGGGCTTCCCTGACCATTTTATGGATTTTCTTAACACAATTTTTTTTTTTTGAGACGGAGTTTCGCCCTTATTGCCCAGGCTGGAGTGCAATGGCGCAATCTCAGCTCACTGAAACCTCCACCTCCCGAGTTCAAGCAATTCTCCTGCCTTAGCCTCCTCAGTAGCTGGAATTACAGGCATGTGCCACCATGCCCAGCTAATTTTGTATTTTTAGTAGAGATGGGCTTTCTCCATGTTGGTCAGGCTGGTCTCAAACTCCTGATCTCAGGTGATCCACCCGCCTCGGCCTCCCAAAGTGCTGGGATTACAGGCGTGAGCCACTGTGCCTGGCCAGTGACATAATTTTTAATTATATATAATTTGATTGTTTGTTTATTGTTTGTCTCCTTAGATATAAGAACCTTGAAGGCAGGATATGTGTTAGTTTAATTCACTGGAGTTAAACTCCTTACCCACATCAAGGGAATTAAAAGGTTCTGGAGCCAGAGACTTACAGGAAGAACTTCTGAGGATTTCATTGAGAAAGGTGTGCTGTGAGCCTACCTCTCATTCTGCACCATCAAGGAGAAGGGATGAGGGCTTCAGTCTGCTAACCCCAAATCAAGAGGAAGAAATTTTAAGGATACCACTTGAAGAGTTCAATATGTGTCACCAACAGTTGCTTGGTGTTTAATTCACACCTGAGAAATTTAAGGGCTGAGAGAACAGCTGCAGCAGCCCATGTAAGCAGAGTAGGTGTTGCAGCACTGGCTCCCTGGACTTGAAGAGTTTGTTTAGCAAAGTTTACGTGAGGGTTTCCTGTGAACCAGATGTGGGCACGTGCATGAGTGCCAGCATGTGGTTGTCTTAGGAACTTACCAAGATGGCCACAGAGGGGTTAGCACATGTAAATAGGGAGAAGCTGGGGGCATGTCTAGCAGTCTCAGAGCTGAGGAAAGAGCAATATTACCAAGCCAAAGTGTTGTGAATAGCACATTTCAAGGGAATTGGACGCAAGAAATCCCAAGGAATTTGGGAGGGCAAAGGCAATTTCTCAGAAAATCCATCAAAGTGCTCACAACAGTCAGCTTAAGACACTTGCCAAACAGAGAACACCAATACCTGCTCTCAACAATAAAGCCAAGAACTCTCCTGCCTCCCTTTCCTCTCCTTTTGCCCAAGTCTCCCCTTCTGAGTACGAGTAGAAAAGATGGAAGAAGTTGAACAACTGCCCTTCCCTACCTTCAGCCTTCTGGAGATATATCACTTGGCAAAATTATGTTCCAAGCAAAATCAAAGAAATTTTAAAAATGAACCAAATAATAAATAAATATGCGAACATTTTAGTTGTATGACAATAGGATGAAAGTGGTTATTCATGGTCCTTAATATATTCCTCTAAATTCTCTTTAACAAACGCAAGTACGTACTAGAAAAAAAAAAAAGACCAATGCAAATAAATCCCACACCTTTCCCACTCTAACCCTACCACTAATTGCAAATTATTCAGACTTCTGAGACTTGAGGTTTAGAAAGAGATGTCAAAGTTCTCCCTTCCCCACTCATTCCCAGGCTGGAAACTTCTCCCCCATGTGGCTGGCCAGCAGTGGGAAAGAACTCACCCTTGACATAAGAAGCCCCCTGGCTGGGCATGGTGGCTCAAGCCTGTAATCCCAGCACTTTGGGAGGCCGAGGCAGATGGATCATTCAGGTCAGGAGTTCAAGACCAGCCTGGCCAATATGGTGAAACCCCATCTCTATTAAAAATACAAAAATTAGCCAGGCATGGTGGCAGGCACCTGTAATCCCAGCTACTTGGGAGGCTGAGGCAGAAGAATTGTGTGAACCTGGGAGACAGAGGTTTCAGTGAGCCCAGATCCCACCACTGCACTCCAGTCTGGGCAAGAGTGAGACTCCATCTCCAAAAAAAAAAAAAAGCCTCCTCCCCTTGCCCACAGGGTGTAGCTCTCCTATTGCAGCCTCCTTGGCAGAATAAATATATCCCAAAACAACATGATACCCCATCATTCTTCTACACAGCATGACACAGAATACCAGGGCCTATATCTGCTCACCAAGGTGGAAATATGGGGAAGCAGGCATAACACATTCTCTTTGCAAGAATAATCCCTGGATTTAGTTCTCCAATGCTTTACTGAAGCTTCCATGCTCTGAGTTAGAACTCGCCCTGGGGGAATGCTACCACAGTACCTCCAGCAACCTTCCCAGGCCTTCCTGGAGCAGACCGGTGAGTCTTTCTTCTCAAAGGCCACATGTACAATCTCTCATCTGCCCTGCTCTGCAATGTCTCAAGGAAACTGGAGGACATACTTGGTCACTGTTTAATGTATGGTAGAACAGTGACCTCAACAAAATCCAAACTCCAGCCAAAATATGCTCTCCCTGCATTTCTACTCTGTATCTTGAAGCTAATCGGCAAAGGCCAATTTACTCTTTTGCCTAACAATATCCCAAATCTGAAGATGACTGACATAATCTTGGAATCTTCTTTTGTACAAGACTAGCACATCAGATTCCATCAATCTGGGGCTCTCTCTTACCTAAGAGCTGATGCAAAATCCTTGACTGGGAATTAAACTGTCCCATAAAGCATTACCTTGAAGTGTCTCAAAAACAATGATAAGCACAGGCTTATTACAAATTTACAGATTTTTAAAAATAAGCTGATTTTACATTTTTGCAAACATTATTTAACATAAACATATCTAAAATGTGAAAACAGAACTTGCATCATGTTCCTAATCGACGGGTTGCTCAGAATAGATGAACAAGAACTGGACTAAGTTGCAGCAACCCAAGGGCAGAACTCAGAAGACTTGACCTCTTGCTCCAACTCTTGACAACTTTAAACCAGTGACTTAAAGTGCCAGGATTTCCTTTCCTCAAAGCCCAAAGTGTCCAGTGCTCCTGGGTCCTGTGCGCAACATGGCCACACCCACGAAAACGGGACCATGGCTGCTTAAATATGTTAACCTAGGTTGACTAATATTTAGACAAAGCAAACGTTACACCATCATCACAGTACATTCCAAAGCCATATAAAGTTATCTCTCCTCTCCACCCATCCAGAGGCACTGGCACATTCCACATGCAGGAGCAAGTGAAGCCACCACTAACCTTCCAGTCAAACATCTCCGCAGAGAATATGATGCTCCTCCCCCACAGGTCCGGGAGCAGTCACTCCAGTCGCCCCAAGCATCCCAGTTGCCATCTTTGTCTTCATCTGAACGAGTGTTTCTTGAGGTCTAGATGTTAAAAAGCAAACAAACAAAAAAAAAACCACACAATAAAGTATAGGCAAATGTGGTAGAAATATCCCAAATCTTCCCCAGTTATTCCAGAGTCACCTTTTTTTTTTTAATTGAGACAGAGCTTCGATCTTATTGCCCAGGAGTGCAATGGCACAATCTCGGCTCGCTGCAACCTCCACCTCCTGGGTTCAAGCAATTCTCCTGCCTCAGCCTCCTGAGTAGCTGGGATTACAGGCGCCCACCACCACACCTAACTTTTGTATTTTTAGTAGAGACAGGGTTTTGCCATGTTGGCCAGGTTGGTCTTGAACTCCTAACCTCAGGTGATCTGCCCGCCTCAGCCTCCCAAATCCAGAGTCATCTTCTAAGCTCTTCACAAAGACCAATGTTACCCAAAAATGCTTAGCTTTGGAATGACTGCATGAAAAAAAAAGACAGGTTTATATGAAAAGCAGTTGACACATGCATGCCTTTCCACCTTAAGGTTTTGTCGAGATAGCTTTTAAGCTCAGTATTATATCTGAAATTTTATCATTGCTAAATTTAAATAAATTGGCTAAATATCAATTATATTATTCTGTTTTCTAACTTACATAGCAGGGACCCTGCTTGAGCCTAAACCACGTCTACCAAAAATACAAAAATCAGCTGAGTGTGATGGTGCGTGCCTGTAATCCCAGCTACTCGGGAGGCCAAAGCAGGAGAATCACTTGAACCAGGGAGGCGGAGGTTGAAGTAAGCCAAGATTGTGCCACTGCACTCCAGCCTGGGCAGCAGAGCAAGACTCTATCTCAGAAAAAAAAAAAAAAAGAAGTGCTCATGAGTGAAATTCTGACTTGCTTGTGTGTCAGGCAGACTGGCGGTAACTCCCAAGAAACCTTGCATAAGGATTTGTGGAACCTCCTGAGAGAATCTCCATTCCTAGAAAACAAAGTCATATGAACATAGTTGGCCAAGTTATAAAGGTTTTGAATCCAAGAAAATAGGGAAGAGTCAATTATGAGTACAGTTTGGTTTAATTGGTCTCCTAGACTTTCCACCATTGACTTAATTCAGAATACTACAGAGAAGAAGGGAAATTACAAGTAAAAAGTACATAGATGTAGGTATAGACCTGAAAAGAAATAAAGCTCATTATTAAGTTACAAAACTTTACTAAGGGGTCTAAAATATACTTGAATAAATGAAGAAACAACCATAGTCCTGAATGAGTAGACTCAATACTGTAAAATGCTACTTCTCTCCAAGTTTATCTATAAGTTTACAGCAAGTCCCATCAAAATCCCCAAAGAAAAATTTTTGAAACATAACAAATGTTTCTAAAGTTCATCTAGTGGCATAAATACCTATAAGAGCCAAAGGAGGCCGGGCGTGGTGGCTCATGTCTATAATCCTAGCACTTTGGGAGGCCAAGGTGGGTAGATTTCCTGAGCTCAGGAGTTCAAGACCAGCCTGGGCAACATGGCAAAACCCCATCTCTACTAAAATACAAAAAAACTAGCTGGACGTGGTGTCACATGCCTGTGGTCCCAGGTACTCGGGAGGCTGAGGCACCAGTATTGCTTGAACCCGGGAGGCAGAGGTGACAGCTGAGATCGTGCCACTGCACTCCAGGCTGGGTGACAGAGCGAGATTCTGTCTCAGAAAAAAAAAAGAAAAAAAGCTAAAAAATTGTGAAGGAAGATAGAATTACTATAGAATTACTATATGATCCAGCAATCCAACTTCTTGGTATTTATCCAAAAGAACTGAAATCAGGATCTCAAAGAGATATCTGCACACTCATTGTTTGCAATAGCCAAGACATGGAAGCAACCCAATGTCCATCAACAGATGAATGGATAAACAACATGTGGTATACACACAACGAAATGCTATGGAGCCATTAAAAAGAAGGAAAGCCTATCACATGCCACAATATGGATGAATCTTGAGGACATTAGGTTATGTGAAACAAGCCAGTCACAAAAGACAAATACTGCATGGTTCCATTTATATGAGGTATCTAACATAGACCGACTCATTGAAGCAGAAAGTACAATAGTGGTTGCCAGGGACTGGGGTGATAAGGAAATGAAGAGTTACTGTCCAATGGGTATAAAGTTTCAACCATGCAAAATTAAAAAGTTCTAGAGATCTGCTTTTCAACATTGTACTTATAATTACCAATACTGTACTATACGCTTCTAAATTTATTAAAAGGGTAGATCTCATGTTACAAGTTTTTTTAAACACAATTAAAAGAACTCTAAAAGAAGTAAAATGAGAGGAAAATTGTCTCAATTAAGAGTAGAGAATTGGCACAGCAATAAACAAATGGACCTATTAAAATAAAAAAAAAAAAAAAAAGAGTCCAGAAACAGATCAAGTATAAGGACACAGTATAGCACCACAAATCAATGTGACAAATGTTTTGTGGGCTTTTTGTTTGTTTTGTTTTGTTTTTGACATAGAGGCTCACTTTGTCACCCAGGCTGGAGTGCAGTGATGTGATCTCAGCTCACTACCACCTCCACCTCCTGGGTGGGTTCAAGCAGTTCTCCTGGCCCAGCCTCCTGAGTAGCTGGGACTACAGGTGCCTGCCACCACACCCGGCTAATTTTTTGTATTTTTAGTAGAGATGGGGTTTCACCGTGTTAGCCAGGACAGTCTCGAACCTGATCTCATAATCCGCCCGCCTCAGCCTCCCAAAGTCCTCGGATTACAGGCATGAGCCACCATGCCCGGCGTGTTTTGTGTTTTTAAAAATCATAGATAACTTCTTCATAGAATATACCAAAATAAATTCCAGATCTATTAGAAATGTATGTTAAAATACTGAAACCATAAAATATTAGAAATATTATAGATTAATAGATTAATCTTGGATATACCTACACCAATAGTTGTATAGGAAAGACTATCTTAGATATAGCAATAAAAGTAGAAATTATAAGGGAAAAGACTGATAGGTTTAATTACATTAAAATAAAAACACATATATCATTTTCTATCTCTTCTCTACAGATAAAGCTATAGGCATAGGCGTATATACGCAAAATGTACCAGTAAAAGAACGCGTATGTAGGCTGGAGGTATATAGGCTGGAAACATACCAAATTAGCTCTAAGAATGGAGTAAGTAGGACTAGGAACGAATGTTGTTGGGAAAAGACAGGAAATGAACTTCAACTGAATGTTTAATTTTCCCTAGTCCCACCCAGAATATGATAAATTGTTAAATGCCAGTTTTATTACTATTTGAACTTTCATGGTTTTTGAAATTTCTATTTTAAAAATATTGGGGTGGGGAAAAAGACAATCATTAGATAATCATATTAAATCCATATCATTTTTCATGCATGTATACTTTGTACATGCATAGGGAGAGGAGTGAGAGGTTAATTAAAATATTACCATTGCTACCTCTATGTGTGAGGGATTTGGGTGACTTTAACGTATTTTTGTTGTTGTTGCTGTTTCTCTGCATTTTGTAGACTTTTCTTAATAAAACACATCATACCTTAATTAAAAACAAGGAAGCAAACAAACAAAAACCACATATTCTTGGTGTACAGAAAAGTTCAAGTCAGACAGAATTTAATAGGTAAGTTCTAAGCTGGAGAACAGCAAAGTTTATGAAAGAAACTGTGACATACTAATAAACTGCAGCATGTGACTGAACTAGATACTGCAAAGGTTTCCTTAAGCCCTTAGGCAAGTTACCTCATCTAACCAAAAAAAAAAAAAAAGAAAAATTAAATTAAAAGAGGGACCTGTGGAAAGGACCTTCAAAAGTGAAATGAAGAAATAATGACTGGAAGCAAAGAGGGGGTTTTCCAATAATTTTCACTCAAGTCTCACTGGTCAATGGGCTTTATGGCTTCTTGCCAAGCTACCTATTTATAGCACAGTAAGCAGTCCTGCTAGAGGCAATATTTCAGTAACAGTCAAGTGAAAGGAAAGGATAAATATCTGGTGACTGATCAAATCTGTCATCAGGAATAGGGGCTAATTAAACCCATACTATTTACTGTTCTAATTAGACCACTGTTCAGTTCAATTTTCTATAGTAAACGTCACCAAACATAACTGTGCCCTGTCTATAACATAATAAAAAATAAAGTTTTAATTCACAAAAGATACAATAAGCAGTTTAATACATTCATCTGGACTTTTAGGTTGGGTAAGTCCAAATCATTTAGGTAAATGTTTAAAATATACACAGCTGAAATTGATTTTTCATTTTGTCACTCGATATACCAAAAGGTTGAATGTGAAAAGTTGAAAAACATCATCATATATATTTTTAAATGAAAGTTGAGAGTTTTTGCAATACTGTTTTAATTTGTTTTTATTCCCACTATTCCATCTGTTCAGTTCATAGTTAGAATCAGGTTTCTTTCCATAACTTCTCTACCTTAACTTACAAAAAAAAAAAAGAATCTTGATTCTAAAATAACTAAAATAGGCATGTTATAAGTGCAAGCATTTGGCTTCTCTGATTGGATAGGTAAGATATTTTCCCTCTAAGAAAGTAGAGCACGAATGGCACCTCAAGAGGGGTCCTTGAGTGTTTCTCCTCTCCTCAGCCAGGAAGACGCTTGGATTTTGTTTTGAAACCCCAATGCCGTCTCCAGCAGCCAGCCCTTCTGCCTTTTTAATGTATTATTTCTCTGGAGAGTAATAGCAATAATATCCCAGATTTCCACCCAGTTCTGCTCTCTTCCCTTTCATCCTAGCAGCATAATGATAACACAGACATTCAGAAATAACTCCACTGAAGCAGAATGAAGCGCCACTTGGGCCATTGCTGAAAATGTATGTTTGCGTCGTCTTCCTTGCAGTGAAACAGAACCTGCTTCCCTGGAGCTTCCATGCCTCTAGAGCAGTGGACAGAGCCTTGATCCTCTTCTACAGAAGAGTCCTTCTCAAGCTTTCTGAAGGCCTCCTAGTTCCTTCTACGTTCCCAGATCCTTTGCAACTATGCTCTCTCTTGGCGCACATCGAAATTTGCACATTTTAAGTCTTAAAATGTAGGGTCCAGAATACAACACTGAATCTAAGAACACAGACTATACATTGCACCTATGATCCAGGTTTCTTCAGATAAAACCTAAGTTTCCTTCTTCTCTCCCTCCCTCCATTCCTTCGTTTTTCAGCCAGCCCATTTGTTGGAATCTGCTCTGGAGACAGCATCACATAATAGTTAAAAGCTGTTTGACTCTGAGTTTCTTAAACTTTCTAAAACTCATCTATGAAATGGAGATGATAATCTTTACCCAAACAAGATTTAAATAAAATAACACATATAAAGTACAGGCAGCATCTCCACGCATGCAGTTGGTGAGTATCTCAATAAGGGTAAGCAATTGTTTTTCCTCTTCAAAAATAATGTGTCTTTTTCAAAACAATGATGGGAGAACCAGCTCTCTCCCATTTGTACTTATGCAAGACTTAACATTCATCACTACTGAATTTCCTCTTGTTGGTTTTGGCCCAGAATACCAGCCTGTTGAGATCTGTTTGAACCCTGATCCTGTCACCCTATCTACGAGCCACTGTGCTCAGCTCTGCAGCTTCCGTGTCTTCACTCAAGTCCCTGATAAATGTGTGGGACATAGCTCTCTAATCTTACAGCATTCCATTAATGCATATTTCTGCTTTTTAAACTAGTAAGCCGACCATAATGCCAAGTAAGCAGCCAACTAATCAGACTTGGAGTCTGTGAACACAGTTTAATGTTACAATAAAAATATGAAATAATACCAATTACCGTCATCAAATGTCAGGAGGCAGAAAGGTTTGTGGGGAGGGAAGAAATCAGCCATCAGAAGGAACTGGATCCGGCAGGGTGGAACCTGTATTCTTGGGCTGCATGGTGGTGGTAAACCTCCTGAGAGAAGCGGTATGTAGCAGCTCCACATTGGTTAGCCCCAGCTCTGAAGGTTAATGACAATAAAATACAGCTGACTGATATCAGCTGGCTCTTTGGCCTGATTGTAACCCAGGTGAATGTCTGTGTTTGTCAGTTGAGTATAGCTGCTCCCAATTCCCCCTGTTCAAACATCTCTTTAGGTTGTCTCAAGTAATTATTTAAATTCCATGTTGTTATTATTTTATATGGTAAGTTGTTATTTGGACCCAATCCAAGTGTGCTTCAATCAATATCATGTCACTCTGTGACCCTGTCTGGGGCCAGAATCTGAGGCAGAGCATGGAAGAAGACCTGAACAAGCTTGTCCTACATAACGCAAGCACTGTTAACCATTATTAATGCACAGCGTGAGTACTGCCTGCCAGTACTTTTCCCACCTTCTCTCTAACCTTCTCAGCAAGCCCTTTAAGATAGATATCACCATCCCCATTTTGCAGGTGAACAACTGTGGCTTTGAGAACCATGTGTGTCCAAGGCTCATCGATAATTTCTTTTATTTTTCTTTTTGAGACGAAGTCTTACTCTGTCACCCAGGCTGGAGTGCGGTGGCACAATCTTGGCTCACTGCAACCTCTGCCTCCCCGGTTCAAGCGATTCTCCCACCTCAGCCTCTCAAGTAGCTGGGATTACAGGCACTCGCCACCACGTCCGGCCTGTTTTTGTATTTTCGTAGAGACAGGGTTTCACCATGTTGGCCATGCTGGTCTTGAACTCCTGACCTCAGGTGATCCGCCCGCCTAGGCCTCCCAAAGTGCTGCGATTACAGGCATGAACCACTACGCCCAGCCATCATCTATAATTTCTAATGTCATACAATGAACGTGTATAATTTTACAATAAAACATCCAATAAAAGTTATTTTCTTCTTAAAGAAGGGGCCTAGGCAGAAGCGCTTTCTGTCTTACCCCAGACAAAGCCTGCATTTTCTTTATGGACATCTGTGTGTTTTCCCCACTGATGCTCCACTTCCTTTCACGACCAGGAATCCAGTCAAATACAGCAGCCCAGCTATCATCACTCACAGTTAGCATTTCGCCTCTTGGATCAAATACATCTGCTGCTGTGATCTGCTTGACCACAACATTCTTTCGATATCTCTATGAAGTCTTTTACTTTTTTCCCCCTCTATATTGCAAGTAGAGCTACACTTCTGCTTTTCAAAAGTATTTCATTTTATCTAGCTTCTTTCATGAGGAATTCGCATTTCTGACTGATGTTCATGAACTCACATGCATTCGTTCATTTTCTCACACAAACTATACCAAGAGCTTGCTAAGTTCAAGGCTCTGTGCTCAGTGCCCTGTGAATACAATGTGGATCTGGCCCTCAAGTAGCTCACAAATCAATGAGCATCAGGTGAGAGGGACAAGGGCTGTGGTGAGGCAATGGCAACCTTTGGTTGTCAAGAGCAACAGACACAAGGGGCCCAGGGGAAGGAGACCCTGAAACAGGAGCAATTTGTACCTTGGTTAGGAGAGCTGGGATAGACTTTCCACTGAACATACCAACCCTGCTGGAAGCTGGAAGCACCTCATGTATCCCTATCACCTTCTTCCGTATGATAGGTTACATGTGAGTCCTTATTTTGTGCTCACCTCTGTTTTCTAATTGTGATGGAATTACAAACACTTTTTACTTTCTTCTTTTATGATCATCTATAATTTCTAATGTTATATGACAAACATGTATAGTTTGCACAATAAAACACCCAATAAAAGTTCTTTTTTTTTAAAGGGAAAAGGAAAACACTAAAAGGAAAGCTATGAAAACACTTCCAAAGAAGCAGTATGCACTTTGTGTTGTTTGGTTCAAATTATCAGGCTTAAGGATCTCTTAGGAAATCATATTTTCCTAAGTAAAGCTCTAGCTAGGGAATATTTTGGATGAAAAATTCCAAAAAAGATATTGTTTACTCATTATATAATAGGGTTGGTAAAAGCCAAAAATATTGTAGGAATAAGTATGTTCACCATCTCATAAAGACTCAAGTACTGCTTGCCTTTCTTGGATCCCCAGGCATAAATCAAATCATAAAATATTTTCCTGACAAGTTCTTAAATCTGTGACTTATAATGAATAGTACAGTTCTACTAGTCTTGCTAAAACATTAGTAATTAAACACAGATTTCACATATAAGGTCACTTATTGGAAATGCTATATTAACAGCTCCATATTAAAAACAACCCAAAATAAAATGAGTTCCACTGGGATATTACTTCCCAGACATCAAATAAATGTTCATTCCAATGTTACCACAAAGGTTATTTAAGGGGATCTCAAACGACCCAGATTTAGTTAACAGTAAATACATTCTTTCAGGTTAATACTACCTTAAGGTCTTTAACAAAAGAAATTTTAAAATATGAATTGGGTGAACGGCATAAAAATGTCACTCAAGCTGTCACACAGACTCAACAATTCAGTCTGACCAGGATATATTCAACACCCATATATCTAAAGCTGTGTGCTAGGTACTGTTGAGAAATGCTCCGTACCTCTGTGTTTTACTTCTCTCTTCTTCAGTCCATTCTACCCTCTGCTGCTCCAAAACTCATTACCCTGACAGTTGATGGCCTCTAGGATTTGGTTGACACTTTCCTAGTCAATGTGCTCCTAATTATTTTACCACCTTTAAAGCCCTTCACTAATTCCTCAGGACACACATTCTGCTCCTCTAGGCTGTTTGTGCCCTATCCTACCCTTTGTTCAGCTTCATCTCTGGTGGCTCCTGCTAGCACCACATATCCCATATGCTGAGCACACAACATTTTTCATTATTTCAGACACTAACACACTTGCCATCCTGCTTGGGAAGCATTTTTAAAACACGCTATTTACCAAGGTAGTGGACAGGGTACAGGGAAACCATGAAGCCTGGTGCAGCACCCTGGGGCTGGTGCCAGCCAGATTCTGTGGATTTGACGATTCTCATTATCTGCCTTGGCCCTGCACGCTAGATGGGGCAAGGGCAGGCAGGGGCTGTGTATACAGGGCTGCCTGAGAGGAACTAAGGCCTTCGGTTGAGAATCAGAGCCCACAGCAACCCACAAAGAGAGAGCTGGGGAAGTAAACAAACACACTTCTGTCCTCCCTCTCTCCAGTCGCCCTGCAGTGCTCGTTATTTGCCAAACCCAACCAGAAGCCAGAGGGCAAGGGAGACCATTGATGCTGTCCATGCAGGTCAGCTTCCCATTGGGTGGAGCGCGGGGCAGGGAAGGGTGGAGAGTGGATCTGGAGGGCAAAGAGAAGCTTTCCAGCACAGTAATTTATTGACTCACTGGACTATTTTTAAGCAGAGGAGTGACTTAGGCAGACTGTATTTTGGAAAACTTACTCTGGCAGGAGTGTGGGTAAGGACTGAGGGAGCAAAGCCTCACATCAGAGAGCATAGCTAGAAGGCCACTGACATGCAAGAGACAAGAGCCTAGACTAGATTTACCAGTGTCTGGAGGAGGAGAGCATAGATGCAAAGTTCAAAGGTGCTGGAATCAATAGGAGCTGGCAGCTGACCAGATGCAGGAAGAAAGGAGATGTTAGGATGACTCCCAGGCTTCTGTATTAAATGATTTGTGGCAAATGCCAATATCATTCAGGCTTCCCAAGCATCCTCAAGCCCACCCTTGAGGTAGGATTCTCAGCACCTGTGTGTACAGAATGAGAGCAGTTTACCTGATAATGGTTAAGATAAAGGGGGCAAGCTGTTGGTCTCTGGGAGGAATCTGGCCTGCAGGTCTGAGTTATTTAACAATGATTGTATATTCTGCCAAACGAGCCCCTAAAAAGAATTATTTCTTAGGCCGGGTGCGGTGGCTCACGCCTGTAATCCCAGCACTTTGGGAGGCCAAGGCGGGCGGATCACGAGGTCAGGAGATTGAGATCATCCTGGCTAACAGGGTGAAACCTCGTCTCTACTAAATATACAAAAAAATTAGCCAGGCATGGTGGTGGGCGCCTGTAGTCCCAGCTACTCAGGAGGCTGAGGCCGGAGAATGGCGTGAACCCGGGAGGCAGAGCTTGCAGTGAGCCGAGATCGTGCCATTGCACTCCTGCCTGGGTGACAGAGCGAGACTCTGTCTCAAAAAAAAAAAAAAAAGAATTATTTGTTAAGGTTTAAATATACGAAGATTTCACATAAAAATATAGATTTCTGAGGCCTAGAGTGAGACCCTGTCTCAAAAAAAAAAAAAATCTAGATTTCTGACTTCTCAGGAAAATAAAATAAAATTCACATCACAGCATGGCAATAATTAAAACTGAGTGTGGCCATCCGATTTTTAAAGGGCATGTGACCTCTAATATGCCCAGTCCCCATCCAGCCACTGTGAGGATTCGTATTATTTTCCTGGCCTCTGTAGATCAAACTGGGAGCTTGTTGGTGACAAATGACTGTCAGCTTGAAAGTAAATCAAGTCCAGGTGTGGTGGCTCATGCCTGTAATCCCAACACTTCAGGGGGCTGAGGTGGGGGGAATCACTTGAGGTTCAAGAGTTCGAGACCAGCCTGGCCAACACGGTGAAACCCCGTCTCTACTAAAAAAATACAAAAATTAGTCAAGTGTAATGGTGTGCACTTGTAGTCCCAGTTACTCAGGAGGCTGAGGCACGAGAATTGCTTGAACCTGGGAGACAGAGGCTGCAGTGAGCCGAGACTGCATCACTGCACTCCAGCCTGGGTGACAGAGTGAGACTCTATCTCAAAAAAAAAAAAAGAAGTAAATCAAAAGACATGTATATTTATAACTGATATAAGATTCTTCACAGTATTGCTATAGAACGGCATTATTTTCCAGAAGTAAGAAGCATACATACAACATGTAGCTGAAAAATAAAACAAAGGGCATTTGGTTTTTGCTATGGTCTGAATGTGTCCCTGGAAATTTATATGTTGCAAGTTGATCACCAATGTGATAGTATTAAGAAGTGTGGCCTTTAGGAGGTAATTAAGTTATGAGGGTGGAGCCTTTAGGGCCCTTATAAGGAGCTTGAGAGAGTTAGTTCCCTCTCTTCTGCCCTCCCACCGCGTGAGGACATAGCGTTCGTGCCCTCTAGAGGACATGGCAACAAGGCACCATCTTGGAAGCAGAGAGAAGAGCCCTCACCAGACACCAAACCTGCCGGTGCCTTGAACTCAGACTTCCCAGCCTCCAGAACATGAGAGAATACATTTTTGTTCTTTACAAATTACCCAGTCTCAGGTATTTCATTATAGCAGCACAAATTGACTAAGATAGTTGTCTTTACTGCACGCTAAGATCAGAGTGTGTCCACAGAAGCAGAATATATGTCATTCCATGAGGCCCAGTGTCTAAACTCTACTCCCTTTCCACATGTGAACTTTGCAGTATTTCAGACATAAGATATTAGTGTATTTAGGAATCATATTCTGGCTAAGCGCAGTGGCTCACACCAGTAGCCCCAGCTGCTCAGGAGGCTGAGGCAGGAGAATCACTTGAACCCAGGAGGTGGAGGTTGCAGTGAGCTGAGATCACGCCACCGCACTCCAGCCTGGTGATAGAGCGAGACTCCATCTCAAAAAAAAAAAAATCATATTCTGGGATGTACCTATGCAAGCACTAACACAAAAGAAACCACGGGCCCTGCAGGAGACCATCTGAGGAATCACATGTGCCACATCTCCAGTGACAATCCCCATACAAACCAATATCATGCCTGACAATATCTAGGTTATTTTTCCCTATTAATGCAATCAGTGTTTATACCTACTAGACAAGTAGCTTGTTCTTTTCTAAGAATCATAACCAGGTCCTCTCAGATTGTAGCAAGAGACAACATTCAAATACAATGACAGCTTTGTTTCATACTGACTTTATTTTTGTTAAAAATAAATTCTTAAACATAAAGATACTTTACATGAGGGAAGATTTAATAGGATATTATCTATGCTCTTGGGTTAGTCATCATGAAGCATATATAACACAACATCAGGTAAGATTAAAAAGAGAGAACTGCAGGTTGCCAAATTTAAAAGTCTGATGGAGAGGAATGGTGGGCTAGATAATACAGATCAACCATGCCATTGAGGACAACTACAAAAGCAAAAATGTCCTCCAGGAAATTAAAGTAAAAGAAAGAGATTGTCAGACAAAAGAGAATTCATCTTCAGCAGACCAGTCTTAAAGAAAATATTAAATGGTGTTTTTAAGATTAAAGGAAGCTTGGAGATGATGAAAGAAATGAAGAGCAAAAATAAGAATGGTAAACGTAGGTAAATTAAAAGAAAAGCAACTGTGTAAAACAGCAATTATAATGGATTGTGGAGTTTTAAATATTTATATGGAATTAACATACCTGACAATGACAGCCTATGAGTCAGAAGAGAGATAAATGGCCTTAAAGTATCCTAAGGTCCTTGTATCATCCATGAAGAAGATAAAAGAACCAATTAATATTCGACTTTGATAAGTCAAGGATAGATGTTTTAAGCTCTAGAGTTACCACTAAAAAAAACAGAAAAGAGTGTATGACTTCCAAATTAATGTATATGGGAAAAGATATAATAAGAAAACACATTTAATCAATCCAAAAGAAGGCAAAAATGGAGAGAAAAAGGAATGTAGGCAGATGGATAAATTTTAAAAGCTCAGAGTAAAATGGAAGATTTAAATGCACATATATCAATTACATTAAACCCAAATAGAATAAATCACCAATTAAAAGACAGATTGTCAGGATAAAATTTAAAAATTCAGTTATATTCTGTTTAAAAGAGACATTCCTTAAATATAATGGCCAGAAAGATTAAAAATAAAAGATTGAAAAAAATACTTACCATAAGCCTACTAACCAAAATAAATCTGGCTTAGTCACACTAATTAGACAAAGTAGACTTTAAGACAGAGAGATGCTACATACTGTTGGAAGTTTGATTTCACTAGGATGGAACAAATTCTAAAAGTGAAAGTACCTAACAACATAACCACAAAATATATAAAGCAAAAACTGACAGAACTGTAAGAAGAAATAGAAAAATCCATAATGATGGTGGGAGGTTTTAACACAACTATCATTAACTTATCAAGCAGGTGAAAAAAATAAGTAACGATACAGAATATGGAAACAATTAAATTACAAATTGAAACTATGTAACTGTATAGAAAGCTACAACTAACCATCTCAGAATATATATTTTTTGTATTTATGAAATGTTTATAAACATTTATCATGATCTGAGCCATATAGAAAAGTCTCAAAAATTCAAAGATTGAAATAATACAAGTTTTTTCTCTGACAACAAAGCAAAAAAGCAAGTTTAAAACTAGAAAATGTCCAAACACATTCCATAGGTTAAAAATTAATCACAATGAAAATTAGAAAATACTCTTAATGAATGAAGATGAATATATTACATACCAAAACGTGAGTAAAGCAGCTAAAGCTATGCTTGGAAGGGGATCTGTAGTTTTAAATGCACATATTTGAAAAGAAGAAAGATGAAAAAATCAATGATCTTAAACTATTTCAAGACAGAAAAATGACAACACATACAACCCAAAGAAAGTAGAATAATAAGGATGACAACAGCAATTATGAAATGGAAAACAAAAATATAAGCAAGAGGATCAACAAATTAAAAAAGACTAATAAAATTAAATTCCTTGGCAAGACTATGAAAGAATAAGAGAGAAAAGTCACTAAAAATCAATTTTAGGAATGAAATGTGGAATATCACTGCAGATTCTGTAGGCCCTAAAATGGTAAGAGGATGAAAAACATCTTTATGTTAATATATTTCATATTATGAAATATATTATGTTTCTTTATGTTAATATATTTCAAAATTTAGATGTAGGCCAAGCTGCCCTAAGGCAGGACAAACTCTTCTGAGTAATTTACCCTCCAGAGCTGCCACAGGATAGGCAATGGCTGAGATTCACCCTAAATCCCATCTTTGCTGTGCTCCTTCCTGTCTTCCACTTCTCTCACTTCCTTTTTGGGTTCCACTGGAATAAATCACTTGGATACGAATCTTCATCTCAGGTCTTCTTCTTAGAACCCAACCCAAGAAACTTATTAAACTATGTGCATGTCAAAACATTGATTTAAAAAAATACTGCTGGCCAGGCCCAGTGGCTCACGCCTGTAATTCCAGCACTTTGGGAGGCCAAGGCAGGCGGATCATGAGGTCAGGAGATCAAGACCATCCCGGCTAACATGGTGAAACCCCGTCTCTACTAAAAATACAAAAAATTAGCTGGGCATGGTGGCGGGCACCTGTAGTCCCAGCTACTCGGGAGGCTGAGGCAGGAGAATGGCGTGAACCCGGGAAGCAGAGCTTGCAGTGAGCGGAGGTCGAGTCACTGCACTCCAGCCTGGGCGACAGAGCGAGACTCCATCTCAAAAAAAAAAAAAATGTCATTCAAAAATGATAAAGTATTAACATGAGTTACTTCTGGGTATGGGTACACATGAGTTTATTATACTAGTCTCTTAACTTTTCTATTTCTCTATTTTTCTAATTAAAACAAAAAAAGGAAAGATGTGGATCAGAAGAATTTCTGAGATGTTCGAGCAGTGAAAGCAAGTGACCTGCAAGGGGAAAGGTCTGCCTTCTCCACAGCAACATCTAATGCCAGAACACAAGGAAGCAGTGCCTACAAAATCCCACAAGAAAAAAATCACCCAAGAATATTACAACTGCCTAAGCCCTATTCAAGAATAAAAGCACCTCATCAATATTAAAACCTTTGTGCATAAGAGGACACTATTAACAGAGTGAAAAGGTAATCCACAGAATGGGAAAAATATTTGAAAATAATATATCTGACAAGGGGTTAATATCCAGAATATATAATGAATTCTTACAATTCAGCAACAAAAAAAAGAAATAGCCCAGTTAAAAATTGGGCAAAAGACATGAATAGATATTTATCCAAAGAAGATATATAAATGGTCAATAAGCAGATGAAAAGGTGTTCAATATCACTAATCATTAGGGAAATGCAAATGAAATACCACTTTATACCCATTAGGGAAATGTAAAGGAGATACCACTTCATACCCATTAGGATGACTATTATAAAACAAACAAACAGGAAAAAAGTTAACTGTTAGTGAGTGATATGGTTTGGCTGTGTCCCCATCCAAATCTTGAATTGTAGCTCCCATAATTCCCATGTGTTGTGGGAGGGAACTGGTGGAAGGTAATTTAATCATGAGGGCAGGTCTTTCTTGGGCTGTTCTCATGACAGTGAATAAGTCTCACAACATCCGACAGTTTTATAAAGGGGATTTTCCCCGCACACATTCTCTCTTTGCCTGCCACCATGTAAGATGTCCCTTTGCTCTTCCTTCCTCTTCCACCAGGATTGTAAGGCCTCCTCAGCCATGTAGAACTGTGAGTCAATTAAACCTTTTTTACTTATAAATTACCCAGTCTCAGGTATGTCTTTATCAGCAGCATGAAAACGGACTAATACAGTAAATTGGTACTGGTAGAGTGGGGTGCTGCTGTAAAGATACCTGAAAATGTGGATGCAACTTTGGAACTGGGTAATGGGCAGAGGATGGAACAGTTTGGAGGGCTCAGAAGAAGACAGGAAAGTTTGGAACTTCCTAGAGACTTGTTGAATGGCTTTGACCAAAATGCCGATAATGATATGGACAATGAAATCTAGGCTGATGTGGTCTCAGATAGAGATGAGGAACTTGTTGGGAACTAGAGCAAAGTGACTTTTGCTATGCTTTAGCAAAGAGACTGGCATCATTTTGTACCTGCCCTAGAGATATGTGGAACTTTGAACTTGAGGGAGATGATTCAGGGTATCTGGTGGAAGAAATTTCTAAGCAGCAAAGCATTCAAGAGGTTACTTGGGTGCTGTTAAAAGCATTCATAATGAAATGAAAACAGAGCATAAAAGTTCAGAAAATTTGCAACCTGAGATGTGATAGAAAAGAAAAACCCATTTTCTGAGGAAAAATTCAAGCCAGCTGCAGAAATTTGCATAAGTAACAAGGAGCCAAATGTTAATCACCAAGACAATGGAGAAAATGTCTTCAGGGCATGTCAGAGACCTTTGCAGCAGCACCTCCCATCACAGGCCCAGAGGCGTAGGAGGAACAAATGGTTTCATGGGCCAGGGCCCAGGGCCCCCCTGCTGTGTGCAGCCTAGGGACTTGGTGCCCTGCATCTCAGCCACTCAGCCACTCAGCCACTCAGCTAAAAGGGGCCAAGGTACAACTCAGGCCATGGCTTCAGAGAGTGAAAGCCCCAAGCCTTGGCAACTACCATGTGGTGTTGAGCCTGTGGGTGCAGAGAAGTCAAGAATTGAGCTTTGGGAACCTCCACCTAGATTTCAGAGGATGTATGGAAATACCTGGATGTCCATGCAAAAGTTTGCAGCAGGGGCAAGCCCTCATGGAGAACCTCTGCTAGGGCAGTGAAGAAGGGAAATTTGGGGTGCGGGCCCCACACAGAGTCACCACTGGGGCACTGCCTAGTAGAGCTGTGAGAAGAGGGCCACCTTCTTCCAGACCCCAGAATGGTAGATCCACTGACCGCCTGCACCGTGTGCCTGGAAAAGCTGCAAACACTCAATACCAGCCTGTGAAAGCAGCCAGGAGAGGGGCTATACCCTGCAAAGCCACAGGGACAGAGCTGCCCGAGGCCATGGGAGCCCACCTCTTGCATCAGCGTGACCTGGATGTGAGAGATGGAGTCAAAGGAGATCATTTTGGAGCTTTAAGATTTGACTGCCCCACTGGATTTCAGACTTGTATGGGCCCTGTAGCCCCTTTGTTTGGGCCAATTCCTCCTATTTGGAATGGTGTATTTACCCAATTCCTGTTCCCCCATTGTATCTTGAGAGTAACTAACTTGCTTTTGATTTTACAGGCTCATAGGCAGAAGTGACTTGCCTTGTCTCAGATAAGACTTTAGACTGTAGACTTTTGAGTTAATGCTGAAATGAGTTAAGACTTGGGGGACTGTTGGGAAGGCACGATTGATTTTGAAATGTTAGGACATGAGATTTGGGGGGGGGGCAGGGGTGAAATGATATGGTTTGGCTGTGTCCCCACCCAAATCTCAAATTGCAGCTCCCATAATTCCCATCTGTCATTGGAGGGACCCCGTGGAGGTAATTTAATCATGAGGGCGAGTCTTTCTTTTGCTGTTCTCATTATAGCGAATAAGTCTCACAACATCTGATGGTTTTATAAAAGGGAGTACCCCTGCACAAATAATCTCTTTGCCAGCCACCATATTAAGATGTCCCTTTGCTCTTCCTTTGTCTTCTGCCATGAGTATGAGGCCTCCCCAGACATGTGGAACTGTGAGCCAATTACACCTCTTTCCTTTATAAATTACCCAGTTTTGGGTATGTCTTTTTCAGCAGTGTGAAAACAGACTAATACAGTGAGGATGTGAAGAAATTAGAACATGTGTTCATTGCTGGTGGGAATGTAAAATGGTACAGCCACTGTGGAAAACATTACGGTAGTTCCTCAAAAAGTCTGATGTATTATCATATGATCCAGCAATTCCACTGCTGTGTATATACCCAAAAGTATTGAAAGCAGGGGGCCAGATGCAGTGGCTCATGCCTGTAATCCCAGCACTTTGGGAGGCCAAGGCAGGTGAATCACCTCAGGTCAGGAGTTCGAGAGCAGCCTGGCCAACATGGCAAAACCCTGTCTCCACTAGAAATACAAAAATTAGCCAGATGTGGTGGCAGGCGCCTGTAGTCCCAGCTACTCAGGAGGCTGAGGCACAAGAATCACTTGAACCTGGAAGGCGGAAGGTGGAAGTTGTAGTGAGCTGAGATCATGCCACTGCACTCCAGCCTGGGCGACAGAGTAAGAATGTCTCAAAAAAAAAAAAAATTGAAAGCAGGGACTCAAACAAATGTTTGTACCACTCTGTTATAACAGCAGTATTCATAAAACCCTAAAGGAGAAGACAACCCAAATGTCCACTGACAAATAAGTAGAGAAGCAAAATATAGTGTACACATGCAGTGGAATATTATTTAGCTTCAGAAAAGAATGAAATTCGGGCACAGGCTACAACATGGATGAACTTTAAAGACATTATGCTAAGTGAAATAAGCCAGACACAAAAGGATAAATATTGTATGATTCCACTTATGAAGTGCCTAGGGTAGTCAAATTCACAGAGACAGAAAGTAGAATGGTGGTTGTCAGGGACTGGGGGAGGAGAGAATAGGGGGTTATTATTTAATGGGTACAGTAGGTTCAGTTTTGCAAGAGGAAATAAAGTTCTAAAGATGGATGGTGGTGATGGTTGCACAACAATGTGAATGTACATGATGCCACTAAACTGTACACTTAAAAATGGTTACAATGGTAAATGTTAAACAATATATATTTTACCACAATAATTTTTTAAAAGAGTACAGGCAACACCAAGGTGTTCAAATGTTAAAAAAAAATGGAAAAACTCAGTAAATACAGCCTTTCTTTCAAAAGTTGATGATGAAATCCAACCAGCTAGGAAATGATTCAAAATTTTTACAACAGGATTATAAAAGTCATATAAAAGGAATGGTGGTGAGC
Organism: Homo sapiens; assembly: GCF_000001405.40. NCBI lineage: Eukaryota > Metazoa > Chordata > Mammalia > Primates > Hominidae > Homo > Homo sapiens. The sequence goes on along the minus strand of NW_025791797.1, from coordinate 360,860 downwards.
ATTTAATCCATTTAAACATTAAACTTTGAATAAATAACAGGAAAATTAGGGTGTGGAACATATACGATATTAAATTAGCATATATAATAACATAACCAATATAAATCTGGAAGGTGAATGGAAGAAAGTTGTAGGGAAATTAAGTACCATTGACTAAAATTTAAATATGAAATTTTAAAACATAGTAACGCCAATCTCCTCACCTTTTGTGATACACTTAGAGGTATCTTTAAGGAAATAATTTATTCTGCTGTGATCAAACATTCATCTCAATTTAGCAAATCCTTCAGTTTTATTTCATTTCCTTATCATCTATTAAATTCACATAAAATTAAATATTTTTAATTTAAAATGGCATGCATCATGTAATGGCATTTCTATAGCCCTATGTCTATGTATTTACCTTATCCAAAACCCTGTTTGTGTATGTGTATGAAAATGCTTAGAATGCTATTTACCACATATGAACACTAGTTATTTCTAGAAAGTAGGATGTAGGGTGCTTTGTAGTTTTCTTTGTACCTCTTCCAAACTGCTGGATTTTTAAAACAACATCTAACATTTTTAAAATGTTAATTATTCTGACAAATAAATCAATCCAACCTGGGTGTAAAGAAGTCATCTCACTGTGCCTTCAAAACCTAAGGCCCAAATTCAGCTCTCTCCGGTGAACGCTTGCCAAGAAGCCTGTCTTGGTGGCTGGCATTCCTGCGAGCAATATTTATGGAAACTGCCTCAGGACATCCCAAGGCAGATCGAACAAGGCCTGCAGTCAGATGCTACAGATTATTAACTTCCAGCCTCACATATTTCAACAAACATTCTAGAATGGTGCTTTTCTGTCACACAGTTTTGCCCCCCAGGGAACATTTTGAGATGCCTGGAGACATTTATGGTTGTTGCAACTGAGGAGAGGGAGGTGCTACTGGCATTAATGGGTGGAGGCCTGACATACAGTGCCCAGGACAGTCCCCACCACAAAGAATTATCTGACCTAAAATGTCAACAGTGGTGAGGTGGAGAAACCTGTTCTTTCTAGAGGATGTGTGTCCACACAACCAAACCTCTTTACTCTCATGATGACTTATGAAGATAAAAATCCTTTCTAAATCATTATGACAACCACATGTTATTAAAATCTTCAACCTTCAGATAAAGTTATAACAACGCAAACTGCTTCACTTTCGTTTATCACATTAGAGCAAAATAGTACTCTACATGGATGTAATGTTTTTCATCCCTTCCAAGCAGGTTCCTATAGATCACTTTATATATTTTCTTGCTCTCCATTTACAACCACAAGATAACCATAGAAAGCTCTTAATTTCAACATACCCCAAACCATAATCAAAGCATTTATATTTGACAATCTACAGTAGGCTTCTCTTTCCAAGAAAAAAAAAAAGCACAGTTTTTCAAGTTTAATGATATCAAGTTTTCAAAAAAATTCTTTTTCGACTTTTCTTAGTGATTTACTTCCATCCATGGTTAGCCATTTCACATAGAAAAACACAGGGTTGTGCCAACGACTCATCAAGAATATTACCCAGACCACATTTTAGGGGCACAGGCTTTAAATAAACTCCCACAAGAAATATTATTTGACAGCTACCAAAGTAAGTAATGAAAGAAGCCAGTGCATTGTTTCTATCTCATACCTCTCCTTCTGGGATTGGTTGGTGGTCTGCATGCTCTGGACCACCTGCAGGGGTTGTGCTGCCCTAGGTGAAAAGAGAAAACTGGGACAGAGAATTCTGCACACCTGAGATCAGTAGCACAAAAAAATTGAAAAGCTGAGAGCAAAATCCCAATTCCTTGACTAAAAATGGTAGGTGAGTGTCCCTGGTTAGGTTAATAATGGCCTCATGTAGATGACTGCTGCATGGTTCAGAACCCTAACCATTCAGACCATCAAGTCTTCAGAAAGGTAGCCAGGGTTTTGCAGGTCAAGCAAAGTTAGAAGTCACTTACTGACTCAACAGCATTCACCAAGCCCCATTTAGTAGCTGCCCTCAAAAAGGTTAATCTCACTGGAAGATAAACGAAAACTCATGATTGCAAGCAGGCAATACACACTGAAAGAACAAGGAAGGACAATGACTCCTCAGCCTGTGAAGTCAGGGCATAATTCTCAGGGAAGGTGTCAATTGAGCTGAATCTTGATGGATGAGAGAGTTGAACAAACCTAAAGGCGAGCATATGAGCAAACGGTCTCTATAATTTTGGCAGAGGAAAAGAGAAGAAATGTTTGTGTAAACTTCAGTGGGTTGTAAATAGAGTTATCAAAGAAATATAGTAACTTCTACAGAGCTGTGTCATCTAAGTTATATTGTTATCTGTTTTCTTAACATGACCTTAAATTTACACTAGCCACATTTCAAGCACTTGTTATGCACATGTGACTACTGGCTACTATATTAGATATTGCAAATATAGGAAATTTCCATAATTACAGAAAGTTATAATAGACATTAGAAAGATATAAGTAATTTGGAAATAAGGTCACAAAGTTGAAAGTAAAGCCAAAGACTTTCTTGGGAAAGAAAATTTGTGCGTGTATGTATGTGTGTGTGTGTGTATGCATAAGCATACATGAACATTCACTTCACATATGGATGTAAAATAGAACTACACATTAAATTAATCATTTATTAGATTTAATCATATATTTTATAAATTTTAGTAATATCCAGTATGGGATTTTTTTAAATAGAATTCAAACTTTCAAAATCACCATAGAGAATAAATTTAAGCAATTTTGGTCTATTACAGCAAAGTATCAAAAGTAAAGAAAATGCTAAGGCTATACCAAAAAATGTGAAAACGATAAAGGAATAAACTAAAAATAACAGAAGAAGGAATATAAACCAAACAGAGCATCTTCTCTTTTTAGCACTTTTGTCTTCTATACCACTGATTTGATTTTCCACAAAGCCAATTTTGCTCTTCATTCTCTTTTCATTTTGTTGTTTTCATAACACTTAATATTTTCTTCAATTGCATCAGTAGCCAAAGCAAATGGTATTTAAAATGTATTGTTTCTCATAATAAATTGCATTCTGTAAATTCTCTCTTTACCTCTTTAGGGCATAGGTTGTTGTTATGATGCAGAATCTTTTCACATTTCTCACGCTACTATTGATGATTTTTACTCCTTGTCAAACAGCAATCTATTCTAGGCTGGTATTTGCCCCCAAACTATTGTTGGTGGATTCTCGTTGGGTGGAAAACTTTTTACTCCTCACTTGAACACTGTGGGAAATTTTTTCACACCTGGGGTTAGGGGATGAATGAGGAGCAAGTAGTGAATCAAGATGAAAGTAACTCCATAAAGAGGATGTCACCTCTGCAGTATCTCCTCTGCATTTATTAAAGATGCTGCATCAAAGGGTTAAGGCTTCTATATACAGTTTTCTGTTCATTCCAGTCACCACATCTCCATACCATATACATCGAATTTCCTGGCACAGCTGCCCACCTTCTTGGAAAGGACACAAACACACTGGAAAAAATTTACATCAGAAAAAAAGCACCAACACCCACAGATTTATATTTGGTGTTGCACCTCTTACGCTTGACTTACTTGGACCACAAGCTTCCAAATATTATTGACCCAGAGCAGCCAACAAGGCTCTAGGAAGAATTATGTCCATCCCCCTATCATTTGAGACTTAATTTCCAGGTCACTATTAATTTGGGCTCTGCTTCTAACCTAGAAAATGACCTCCAACACTTGGTTAAGTCAGTATATTGGTTTTTCTTTTTGTCCATAATAATATAAAATGCCAAAATTTTAATAACGTTGAAATTATATTCATCATTGACTCAAAGCTACAATTCATCCTCACATTGTTAACTTAGTCCACTGAGTTTTCATTCTTCAAATTTCAGCTCAATTTTCCTCAAAGAAGCCTTACCTGACTTCAGTCTGTAATTACAGAACAAACCATGTGACTAATGGATTAATGTCCATCTCGAACTAGACTACAAGCTCCATAAAATTTGGGATTTGATCTTGTTTTACCTACCAGTGTGTCTCTGGCAATTAGCATTGTACCTGACATACAAGAGGGACTTAATAATATATACTAAATTAATGCATGAATTAATAATTTAGTTAATGGACGAACAAATGCATAGAGTTAATACTTTCAGTAATAAATGAAGGAAAAGTCATGTTTTGAGTCAATGAATCAACGAATTAAAATGTCTCCCCCAGCCGGGCGCAGTGGCTCATGCCTGTAATCCCAGCACTTTGGGAGGCTGAAGCAGGCAGATCACGAGGTCAAGAGATCGAGACCATCCTAGCCAACATGGTGAAACCCCGTCTCTACTAAAAATACAAAAATTAGCTGGGTGTGGTGGCACGTGCCTGTAGTCCCAGCTATTCGGGAGGCTGAGGCAGGAGAATCACTTGAACCCAGGAGGCGGAGGTTGCAGTGAGCCGAGATCATGCCACTGCATTCTAGCCTGGCGACAGAGCAACACTCTGTCTCAAAAAAAAGTCTCCCCCATGCAAAAATCTGTCTGTGAACCATTTTGAAAAAGAAGGGGACCAGAGTTCTGATCAGTGAATTTATCTTTGTCATTTGTTATCTTTTGTTTTTCCCTAAATTATCTGCTGATTATGGGCATGACACCAAGCTATGATGCAAAACTTACAAGGGAAAAAGAAATATAATTTACTTAAGTCCTCAACAAGTATGGGCTCAAACTGGTTCATTTCTTTACTGCCAGGGTTAATCCCGTTTTCATTATTATTTAAGTAGAAACTTAGGTGAAGACAATCCATCCCTGTGCAATACGGAAAGCTAATTCTGTATTCCAGGTAGCTGTGTTGAGTTACCAGATATACTGTAATTGATTAAGAAACAAAACCCTTAGGCTTGTAATAGCTGATACGTGACTCTGGTTCAGCTTGAATCCATAATTCATTGGCTTCAAATTTTGTGTGTAAATACAAAGATTTGCAAGGCCATAGAGTGGAGGAATCAGTTAATAAACAAATATCCAAAATAAAGTTTCCAGAAGTCTGGTTTCACACTACACTAGTCTTCAACATCTTTCAATGAGCACGCAGTTGAAGGAACACAAACGAACAGATCACTTTAAGGTAGAACCACAAAGTGTTACATCTGGAAAGGGACTTCTGAGCTTATCATTTTTACAGATGGCAAAATTGAGGTCCAAGAGGAAGACCTACACAGTCAAGTCAATGACAAAGAGCTTGAATGAGAACTCAGTTATTTCACCTTGCAACCCAGGACTCTTTTCGAGACCCACCCTATTCGCTTTCATGAATTACTAGTCTATGGCCATCTTCCTGCCTTGGACCTCCTGCCACTACTATTCATCCTCTACATCTAGGCCAGATGTATCCCTTTAAAACACAATTTCACACCTTAGTAACACCTCCCCACTGCTCAGACCATCTAGTGTTTTCTTAATGTCCACAGGACAAAGTTCAGAGTCCTTAGCTGGGCAGTTAGAACCTTCCACCTGCGTCCTACTAACACTCTAACATCACCTCCTACTGCACTTCCAAATGTAACAGCCACTGCAGTCCAATTGTTCTGTCCATCACAGCTCATCAGAACTGTTCTGCATGCATTTGCTTATGCCATTCTTCCTATGGTGACATGTTGACAGCTGCCCAGAATCCCCATCAATAAAGCTCTCGTTGCCTTAGCTGCAAGAGTGTACTATCAAACAGCCTTTAGCCATCAGTCTTTTCGGTGGTTGACTTAGTTGCAGGAAGGCATCTCTCTGAGGGTCACATCCCTGGCCAGGGGAAAATTAAAAGCTAACCTTGGAGAATGTCCTTCAGCCAGAGTCATTTCCACTACTGCCCTGCAACTGTGAGAGAGGCACAGCATCCAGCCCTTCTCTCACACCTGTGGACACATTCAGTGACTCAGCAAAGCAGGGGTCTAACTTAGGACAGCTCAGTCCAACTTAGGACAACTCTAAATGCTATTCTTGTTCCAGAGTTTCTTGTGGGCTGTGCCAAGGCTTTCTTTGGGGCTGCATTTCAGTTTGACACCTCCCACTGCTCATCCTGCTTCATTCTCTTCCTTCCATGAGTGTCAATCCCAAGAAACTCCCAAGTAACCATCTTGCATGTTAAACTCCTCTCAGGGTCTGCTCCCTGGAAAACCCAGCATGCAACACTCCCAGCCCCCAAATACCGGCTCCCACTGTCTTTCAAGGTCTACTCCCCAGGCCACTCCTCTTTACAAGTCCTGTAGCAAATATAGATCAGTTCACTTATTTTACATTAATATGAACCACCTCATACCAATAATTCCTTCTTAGGTATGTGAAGTCACAAATGCATGCTGTGTTTCTTTCTTCTTTCTTTTCTTTCCTTCCTTGCTTCTTTGTGTGTGTGGTATTTTTTTTTTTTTTTTTTTTTTTGAGACAGGGTCTTGCTCTGTCACCCAGGCTGTTGTGCATTGGCACAATCTCAGTTCATTGCAGCCCTGACCACCCAGAGTAAAGTGATTCTCCCACTTCAGCCTCCAACTGGCTGGGACTACAAGTGCATACCACCATGCCTGGCTACTTTTTGTGTATTTTTTTGTAAAGACAGGGTTTCGCCATGTTGCCCAGGCTAGTCTCAAACTCCTGAGCTCAAGGAATCCTCCCACCTTGGCCTCCCAGAGTATAGGGATTACAGGCATGAGCCACCATGCCCAGCCTGCCTACTCTGTATCCCTAAGAACTAGCATCATGACATTGCTACACAGTGAGTGATCAATGAAGGATGACAATCTTGATAATGAAGATGTAACCAATCTTGAACTGACGATCCACTTCAACTAATATGTCATTCTTCTTTCCCTGCTAGACTATAGTTCCCTAAGGGCAGAGTGCTGCTATCCCCACAGGCTCCTTGTAAGAGGCACTGAAGAAAGGAGCAGTGTACTTTTGATGTGCTACTCCCTTTAGAATGAACGAGAATAAGTTTGATTTGTATTCTCAAACATGGGATTGGAGGTGAAGACAGAAAGGAGAAGAAATGTTTTCTTTAAGGGGAATGACATATGAGGAATGTTGTACAAGGTCTCTCTTCCATGCCAACAAGACTCCAGGAGACGCCAAGCAGACACTTGCTGAGAGCTGCCATTCTGGTGCCAGGGAGTCTGGACCTGCCAGATCTCATGGCTGCTCCACCCTGAGCTGCCCTCGTCCATCTAGGATGACCCATGTTCTGAAATAAGATCCGCTTCTCCATCCTTAAACAGCCAAGCAAAACTGTTCCTTTTGTTTCTTTCTCACAGAGAGCAATGGATGTTTGGGAGACATCGGTTTGTCTTAATTAAAACAAAACTGCACCACAGCCATTCTTACGAAGTAGACAAAAAGTAAACAAGGACCTATGATGAACAGTTAGGGCCAAATTTTGAATTTCATGACATGTGAACATGGTCTGAAAAGGAAAGATAAATCCTCTCGTCCTCCAGGGGAACACTTAAAAGCTGACCTTGGAGAATGTCCTTCAGCCAGGGCACAGGGTCACTTCCACTACTGCTCTGAAATGGTGAGAGGAACAGCGTCCAAGCCTTCTCTCACACTTGTGGACAGATCTGGATGGGTACCTGAGAGGAAGTCTAACAAATAGGAAATGGAAAAACTTACTGAAACCATTTCTCCTGCCAGAGCAGAAACTGACCAAAGTGGGGACACTACTACTGCCTTGCAGTGCCAAATAATGAAATGTTGTTTCAACACTCTTCCCAAGTGAGGAAAGAGAAAGTGAAAGACGAGCAGCAGAGGAAAGCAAAACAGGAACAGGATGCAAGTGTGGGATTAGGGAGGCAGCAAACCTCAGAAATGGCCAGAACTGGCTCTCAGCTAACTAGGATTTCAGACACTTGCAGCAAGAGGGCAGCCCAACACTTCCTTATCTAACCTAACTTCCAAGTGACACCTAACACCATATCATCTGGGCAGCCTTCTCTTAAACCCCATCTAACCCATCACTTCTATTAGTCTTGGCATTTTTCTCGATGTCCACACAGAGGTAAAGTATATGAAAGTTCTAAGTTCTAATCCTTTTATTCGCACTCCCCATAGAAAATCCATAGCAAAGCTTTGCCTTATATTATTGCCATATATTACATTATTGCCTTACATTAGTACAAACTGAAAAGTATTTATTCCATCAGTTTAATAAGTAAGAAAATTTCATTTTTTTTAAGAGGCAAGGTCACACTTTGTCACTCAGGCTGGAGTGCAGTGGTACAATCATGGCTCACTGCAGCCTCAACTCCTGGGCTCAAGCAATCCTCTCACTTCAGCCTCCTAAAGCACTGGGATTACAGGTGTGAGCCACAATGCCTGGCTGACTTCACTTTTTAAAAAATCAGAAACTACTTCCAACCCGAAGTATACTGTTTTCACAAGAGACTAGCTTCATCATGTAACTATCATTGTAAATATCATTCACATTACCCAAAAGGTTCCCAGTTAACTGCAAACAGGAACATGAGCAATAGACCGCAGTTGATGTATTAACTCTGTCATTCAAGAGCTGGTGATTTTGATCCAGTTATGTATTTAAATACGAACATTTTCATGGGTAAAGCAAACAGAGGATTTGTGACAGACACTGATAGTTAACACCCAATATCCACACCCTCCTTTCTTTTTTGCTAACAGAACCCCAGGTGGTGAATCATAAGTCAACAAGACTATAGTGTTCACACTTTCCCAGCCTCCCTTGCACTCTGAGTGGCCATGTGAACCAGTTACGTGTCATTGACCAGAACTGGTTCACATGGCCACTCAGACTGCAAGGGAGGATGGGAAAACTGGTCATTTTCTGTCGGTGCTTCTGGGCAAACATCACATTCTTGATTAATAAGACAAAGGGACATAGGCAATTCTATACCTCTTCTCTCCTTTCTTCCTTGGAATTCAATGTGGTGCTTGAAGCTGCAGTGCCATTTTGCAACCATAAGAGGAACGGCCAACCCACTGAGTACAAAGAACAGAGGGAAAGGAGCCTGGATTTTGAGAGCATCACTGAGCCACTGTCCCAGGCCTATTTGTTAGAACAGCCTTTGGCATGGCATTATGTTCCCTGCAGCTGACAACACTAATAACTGATAGAGGGTTGTTGTGGAATTAAAGAAGAGATTATGTGAAAGTCATTTGATAATGTACCTGACACAGCTTTGTCTGGTTCCAAAGACAGCCTCTTTCCATGACAACAGGCACTTATGAGATTGCATTTATTCATAACACATTTTGCCCAATGGCACCAGATAAACCAAGTGTCACTCTATGTACTTTTCACTTCATTGAATTAATGTAGATAGCTTCATCTTGAAACAGAAAATGTTTCCTTGACCCCCTTCTCGACTGGGAACTGGAGTGCATGGGTGCTAGAACTAGCCAGTCGCTTGGGTGCTGGCAGGGGTGGACTGCACTCTCTGGAACCTATTGCACTCAACCCCTCATGGAAGGAAGCACACAGGTGAGCAGGTGCAGGAGCCGGGGCAAGTGCTTTTGGGTGCTGGCAGGAGCAAAACTCCATTCAGACTCCACAGCAGTGTCTAGGAGGAAGTACCTATGACCCCTGAAGCCCCAGAAGGACTGTTACAGTCAGTGCTCTTTTAGCTTTGCCAGCTTAAGTGTTATGCCACTCAGTGGGCTCTCTGCCTTTTCATGTGAGGTGGTTGCTCTCCGCTAATGAGGACAGAGGGTCAGCATGACAGCCTTTAGCATCCACACAAATGGCACCCAAGCTCTTGTCCAGCGTCCAGGAAAAATCAGGTTGCATGAATGAATTGAAGAGTGGAGGATTTTATTGCCGACGAAAGTGTCTCTCATCAGGAAAGGGAGCTGGAAAGGGGATGGACCAGGAAGGTGATACTCCCCATGTGGACTCCTCTCTGAAGCAACGTTGTCAAGCCGCCCAGCCGAAGTCAAGCCGCTTCTCTCTGATGTCCAGTTGCTTCTCCTCTTCTCTGCTCTCTGCCAGCTGAGCCTGGGGTTTTTAGGGGTCCAGGATGTGGGGCAGGGCAGGCCATGGGTGGTTTTGGAAAAGGCAAACATTCGAGGAGGAAAACAGGAATGCATGTTCTCACTTTGGGCTGGGGTTCCAGGCTTGAGGGTGGGGCCTTTGCCAGGGACCCGCCCTCTTATGCCCAGAGTTTCCCTGCTTCCTGTCCCCATCGATATAATAAACAAACACACTCTTTTGACATTACACAAATGGCTTCTCTAGGAAGGCATATGTAAGACACCCCAAACACGACAGTCCTGCTGACAAACCACTGACTGAAAATTAATGCTCATTTGTGGGGAGGGTAGTAGGGAGATTTGGCCAAAGGATACAAAATTTAAGTTAGATAGGTAAAATAAATTCAAGAGCTCTACGGTACAACACAGGTGACTATACTTAATAATGATGTATTGGATTCTTGAAAATTGATAAGAGATTTTAAGTGTTCCCACCATAAAAACAATGATAAGTATGTGAAGTAATACATGTTAATTAGCTTTGCCAGTCCACAATGTATGCATATTTCAAAACATCATGTTGTACATCATGAATATATACAATTTTTGCCAATTAAAATTAATTAATTTTTTAAAAGAAAATTAATGCTCAGAGACAACATGTACTTGAGTGTCCATATGGCAATTCTTGCTCATTTTAGCTAATGGAGATAGAAAATTCTACTTTACACAGAGTGAGAATGAGAAAATCATGGAATCTGAAGTATGTAAATTAGAAAAAAATATTTTTTGGTGTCTTTGGCAAATATTAAGTCACGTGTGTGGTTTTATCTTCCTCTATATAGCAAAGCCCTGCTTTTTCTGGAACTATTAGAATTAAGTATGCTATATAAATGAACTTCCCACATGAAGAAAATTTGCCTTTTTTTAAAATAAAAAAGATATGGCCGGGCGCAGTGGCTCACGCCTATAATCCCAGCACTTTGAGAGGCCGAGGCAGGCAGATCACGAGGTCAGGAGATCGAGACCAGCCTGGCTAGCACGGTGAAACCCCGTCTCTACTAAAAATACAAAAAATTAGCCGGGAGTGGTGGCACGCACCTGTAGTCCCAGCTACTCAGGAGGCTGAGGCAGGAGAATGGTGTGAACCTGAGAGGCAGAGCTTGCAGTGAACCGAGATCACACCACTGCACTCCGCCTGGGCAACAGACGCCATATCAAAAAAAAAAATTAAAAAGATATATGAGTTAAGGAAATCTTTTCTTGTTGACTCCATTATTGGTATAAACATCCATTATTACACTAGATTGAAATACAGCCCTTTAAATATCTTCATCCAATCTCCTCATACAACTGCTGTCTATTCTCATATCTTCGGGCACAGTGTTAGACTCTGGTTACTCTTCTACCCTGTGGCTACTTGCCTCCCCTCCCCAGCCACGGCTGACAGAGAAATCAGACAGTCAAAAATGTCAAACTTGTAACAAACCTTGATGCTTTTGTGCAGGGAAAACAAAATGGTATACTCCTCAAAAGGCAAGGGAAAGCACACTTTTTTTTTTTTTTTTTTTTTTTGAGACGGAGTCTCGCTCTGTCTCCCAGGCCGGACTGCGGACTGCAGTGGCGCAATCTCGGCTCACTGCAAGCTCCGCTTCCCGGGTTCACGCCATTCTCCTGCCTCAGCCTCCCGAGTAGCTGGGACTACAGGCGCCCGCCACCGCGCCCGGCTAATTTTTTGTATTTTTAGTAGAGACGGGGTTTCACCTTGTTAGCCAGGATGGTCTCGATCTCCTGACCTCATGATCCACCCGCCTCGGCCTCCCAAAGTGCTGGAAAGCACACTTTTTAAAGCATTTATTCAAATCAGAAAAAGTAAATGTTAGACAGGTTCCTGATTTTGCTCTTTTAAATGCAAGGCAAATGGACAGAATGATAGAAGGGATAAAAATGGGATGATGAGGTCACAGACTCTTGCTAAGAGGGAGCTAGTGTAGTAAAGTTAGGAGGTAAGCGCAGTTACAATAACACAGGAATGTAAGTACTAGATATAAGCAATAACAGAACAGAAAATTCAAAAATCTGAATCACACAGAAACAGGCAAATATTAAAGCTTCTCTGCAAATGCTGATGGAAAGTATAATGAAATTAAAACAATGAGAGAGAAAATAACAGATGTGGAGATCAAAGAACAGTTTTCATTATAATATATAGACAGTGTTTCCAATTGTAATAGTGAGAAACTTTTCCAAGCTGAAGTCAGATCTACAAACACAGACCGAAGAAGGTGACCCCATTTTAGGCAAAATCATTGGAAAGGAACTCTCCCATAAACACAGCCAGTCAAAATTTCTGAAACAGAAAGATTTAGAACTAATCTTACTAGCTTCCAGACAAGAAAAGCACAAATGATTACAAACTACAAAATCATGCTGTCCAAAAATTACTTTATTATTTTTATCTTTTATTCCACTTGGTTATTCCTAATTTTGTGAACCTGTATTTCCTCATTTCTTTCTTGGTAGAACTAATTAGAAGTCTATCCATTTTGTTACTGTTGTTCCCAAATGACTAGGTTTAAATTTAGCCTTTTGAAAGCTTTAACTCTTCTAATTAACTGAATTTCTGCTTTTGTTTATATTAATTTTTTTCTTCTGAATTCCTTTAGGTATATTTTGTTTTTCTACTGTCATAAGTTGGAAGTTTAGTTTATTTCTATTCATTCTTTAATAGGAAGTTTTCTCTAATTAAAGCTTAGGCTGTAAGCCTAAGGTTAACATAAGGCTGTTTGAAAATTTTTCATTTTCATGGTTTTCTGAATAACTTAGAATCACACATTTTATTTTTCCTTTGATTCAATACTGCTGGCTTAGGAGAGAGGTTTATTTCAATTTACAAGTGGCTAGATTTATTTAATTGCTACTTTGGTTACATATTTCTAATTTTTGCATTAAGATAAAATTGTATATATCTCTTATATGAGAAATTTACTGACTTTTCCTTGTGAATTAATATATAGTAATTTTTTTCGAACTTTCCCAAGGGTTTTTTAAAAGAAGACATATTTTCTACTTAGAAAGCAGAAGGTTCGATATACATTTATTATAGTAACTCTATTGAATATATACATATTTTGAGACAGGGTCTCACCCTGTCATCCAAGCTGAATGCAGTGGCATGATCATGGCTCACTGCAGCCTCAAACTCAAGCGATCCTCCCACGTCAGCCTCCCAAGTAGTCTAGCTAATTTTTGATTTTGTTTGTAGATAAGGGGTCTAGCTATGTTGCCTATGCTGGTCTCAAACTCCTAGATGGAAGTGATCCTCTCGCTTCAGCCTCCCAAAGTGCTGGGATTACAGGGATGAGCCACCATACCCAGCCAAATATATTCTGATCTATATCCACCTTGCTGATCTCACCTTATAGTTCCAATGGTTTTTGAGTTGGTTTTCTTAAATGTTTAGATTGATTATAATTTCTTCAAATAATTACAGTTTTGTATCCTCCTTTACAGTCTTAATACCACTTATTTCTTATAATTTCACATGTCTTTCCTCATTTCAATGAAATGTTTCAATACTAAGTATGGTGCTAGTGGATGATATTCATTAGGAAACTTTTTCCTTATAGTCCTCAAGCATTAAAAAAATTTAGTAGTGTTCTATGTTGAATTTCATCACGTGCCTTCATGACAGCTGTTGAGATAATTCCACAATCTGTTAATGACTGACTTTTTAATGTTAATGACTGAAGTTTAAACCATCCTTTCATTCCTAGGAAAAAACCACACTTGGTGAAGATGCAGTAACCTAAAAAGAAAAAACACCCTGTGGGATTCCATCTATTAATATTTATTAATATAATATTTAGTGTATTATAATTAATATAATATTAACTAATTGCTATCTATTAATATATATTTAGAGTTTTAGTATTTGGTCCATGAGATTGGAGTATAATTTTATTTTTCTGTGCTATCTTTGATGTTTCAGTATCTGTATTATACCAGTCTTCTGGAAAGCTTTCTATCTCTTTCTACATTCCAGAAAAGCTAATATTACATAGGAAATACATGTCCTCTTGAATGCTTGTTACAATTCACATAGAAAAATATGTTGGCCTGGTGTCTTTCTAAGGAATAAACAGCTGGCTGCCTTTTCAATTTTTTCTACATATATTGGTTTACCCAGTTTTTCTGTATTTTTTAGGAATTTGGATTTTAAAGTATTCATTCTATCTAAATATTCAATTGTTATAAATTCATACAAAGTAACTGCTCATAATTTATAATCCTTTCTATATCATGTGAATCTATAGAATTTGTCTGATATTTATTTGTGTCTTTTTATTATTTGTGTCAGACTTGTCAAAAGATGTTATACTGTATTGGTCTTCTCAAAGGAAGAGCTTTTTGCTATACTGATGAGGTATACTGTGGTTTTGTGGCCGTTACTCTATTGCATCTTTTTTATTCTTATCTTTATGTCCGTTTGTGTTATTTTGCTGTCTTTTATACTTTTTAGTTGAATGTGGTTATTTTTATTTTCAATTTTCCCTGTCTTTAAGGTCATAAAGTTTTCTCTTAATACTGCTTTAGCAAAATCCAATGAGTTTTGATATGCAGTTCTCTTACATCTTTCATTTCCAAATAATTAGTAATTTTAATTTGGATTCTTCATCAACCCATAAAAAGGTATTTTTAAATTCCAAATGGATAGATTTGGTGTGATTTGAGTACTTTTTGGTGGTAAATGTATAATTTTATTGCACTAAGGTTGGAGAAAATAAACCATATGATTTCTGCTTTTTGAGATTTACTGAGTTTTTTGTGTACTAATACCCAATCAATATTTGTAAGTGTTCCATGAGTGTCTAAAATGAGCATGTATTATCTGTGGAAAATCAAGAAACCCTAAAGCCCTGTGCACTGGTCAGCCAGCTTGCAAATTTAGTCCAAGACGAGGTCAATGATCTCCTTGCCAATGGTGTAAGTGGCCACCGGCACAGTTACTGGCATAGGTATTCCTTACCTGTGATGCAATGCTCAGGGTTCAAGAGCTGACAATAGGTGTCAGTGTGAACTCTGTCAACAGCCATGGGTTCCAGGTCTACAAACACTGCCCTGGTCACATGCTTGCCAGTACCCATCTCACTGAAGAAGGTGTTGAAGGATGCGTCTTCTCTCCCACTGGTCTTGTCACTGGCATCTGGTCGTCAGGCAGGATGCTGTGTTCCAGGCAGTAGAACTCCCAGCAGGCATTGCCAATCTGGACACCAGCCCAGCAAATGTGGATGGAGATGTACTCATGCATGATGGGGACTTCTAGGGCTCCTTGGCACTGGAGGAGGTGAAGGGCTGGTGACAAGGATCTCCCACTAACAGACTACCAAGAAGTGCAGGGGAGACGCAATCCATGACTATTTTTTAATAGTACAGGTTGAGTATCCCTTATCCAGAATGCTTGGGACCAGAACTATTTTGGATTTCAGATTTTTTTTTGGATTTTGAAATAGTTTCATATACGTAAAAAGATATCTTGGGGATGGCACCCAATTCTAAACATGAAATTCATTTATGTTTCATGTATATCTTATAAACATAGGCTGAATGTAATTTTTTACACTATTTTAAATTATTTTGTGAATAAAACAAAGTTTTGACTGTGTTTTAACTGTGACCGTTCACATGACATCAGGTATGGAATTTTCCATTGTGGCATCATGTCAATGTACAAAAAGTTTCAGGGTGCTCAACCTGTATGAAATGCAAGAATCTTTTATCCAGATTAATATCTTTGGCCCTAAATTCTATTTTTCTAATACTAATATTGCTATATAATCTTTATTTTAGTTTACACTTGCATGATCCATGTTTTACCATCCATTTATTTTCCATCCTTCTGCATGATTTTATGTATCCCCTTATAAAAAGCATTTAGCTATTGTTTTTAAACATATCTCAGAGTCTACATGTTTATGAAGACATTTAACTCATATACATTTACTGTAATTTGGGGTATTTAGATTTTTCTGCTATTTTATTTTGTTTTCCTTTGACCACATTTTTTGTCTGGTTTCTTGTTTTTTTAATCCTGCATTTTGTTGAAATGATCATATTTTCTTTATTTTATTTTATTTTATTTTTTTTCTTGTGGACTGGAAATAATAACTAATTTCATTCTTCATTTTTTTTGGTTTTTGATATGGAGTCTTGCTCCATCACCCAGGCTGGAATGCAGTGGCAGAATCTCGGCTCAATGCAACCTCCACCTCCTGGGTTCAAGAGATTCTCTTGCCTCGGCCTCCCAAGTAGCTGGGATTACAAGTGCCTGCCACCATGCCTGGCTAATTTTTTTGTATTTTTAATAGAGATAGGGTTTCACCATGTTGGCCAGGCTGGTCTCAAACACCTGACCTCAAGTGATCCACCCACCTCAGCCTCCCAAAGTGCTGGGATTAAAGGTATGAGCCACCATGCCTGGCCTCTTATTTCATTCTTCTAACATACATATTTAATAAAATTTAACAACTTTATAATTAAATAAATTAAACAAATTTCTTCTCTGTGTCTAGGGTAATAAGTATCTATATCCTTGCCACAAACAAACAAAAGAAACAGAGCCTTGACAAATCTTCACAGAATTTTAGAAGGTTCAAAATATGGTATACTGCCATCTAATTTAAAAAGTGTAAGTGACATACATACATATAGATGCTAAATTGCTTATATACACATAAAATATCTCTAAAAGGAGACCCAAGAATTAATAACATTGGCTTCCTCTGAGGAGAAACCTACTGATTGGGGAAAGTGGGTGAGAAAGATTTATAAATACTCCTTTATACATTCTGAATTTTGAACTATCTGACATACTACCTGGTCCATTTTTTTCTAAATTTAAAATTGAACTTAACTCCAAGCTTTACCAGTTTCTTTGTTCATCCATCTTTCTTGCACCTCATGTTTTCCTCTTGTTAGATTCTTGTTTTTGTTGTTATTATTGCTTTGCTAGGTATACTCTGGATTAATTATTTCGGAGACAGTCTTGGGTAATCATCTTGTAGTACTTGAACAGATATTTTTATTTTACTCTCATAGTTGAAACACAGCCAGTGTAGGTGAGTTCAGTATTATAAATTAAAATTCGTTTTTCTCAGGGCTTAATAGTGTCTCTGTCTTCTAATACAAAGTATTACTAGCAGAAAGTCTGACACCAATTCTATTGTCATAAACAAAAGAGGATAATTTGCTTTTTGTAATATGAGTGTTTTCTGGATATTTCTCCTAATTCTTAACATTCTTAAATTTTAACACGATGTATCGGGGTATGTATATGTTTGTGTTTTCATCCCAATTGATACTCTCTGGACTCTTTTCATCTGAAGATTTGTGTATTTCTCCAGGTCTGCGAGGTTTTCTTCAATTGTTTGGTTATTGTATTAGTCCATTCTCACACTGCTATAAAGAACTGCCCGAGACTGGGCAACTTATAAAGAAAAGAGTTTTAATTGACTCATAGTTCTGCATGGCTGAGGAGGTCTCAGGAAACTTATAAGCATGGCAGAAGGAGAAGCAGGCATGTCATACGTGGTGGCAGGCAAGAGAGAAGAGTGAACAAAGGAGGAACTTGCCAAACACTTATAAAACCATCAGATCTCGTGAGAACTCACTGTCATGAGACCAGCATGGGGGAAACTGCCCCCGATCCAATCACCTCCCACCAGATTCCTCCTTCGACAGCTGGGGATTACAATTCAAGATGAGATTTGGGAGGAGACACAAAACCTAACCATATCAATTATAGTCTTCCTTCCATTCCCTTGTCTCATCTTTCTACTCCTAGATATATCTTAGAATTTTCTCTATTTTCCCCCACACTTCCCATTTCTAAGCCTTTTTACACTGTGCTGAATTTTCCAATTCACTAACATGACCTATACCTATTTCCATGCTGCTTATCAGCCAATCTATGATTTCATGATCAAATTTTTAGTGTACAAAATATCTAATTGTTTCTTTTCCATAATGTAATAGTTTCCTTAACATTACATAAGGATAGTAATTAGCTATACTTTAAAATATTCTTCTGTTTCCTTTGGTAGCTCTGTTTCTCTGGGTGTTAACTCTTCTGTTGTGTTTGGTCCTCCTCTTCCAGGGTGGGTATTGTGTCTTGGTTGTCTTCTTCTCTTTGTACTTAAGTATCCGTTTGTTTGACAAAACTGTTTACTATAGCCTGTAGTGGTCGTGGAGAAGTGGGAGGACTATGGTCTGGAAGAATATGTTGGTAATGTATCTTCTAGATTGGGGGCTTCCCATCTCTCCTAGAGGTCTCTGGCTACCTGGAGCATGAATTATTCTCTGGCCCTTGTTTTCCACTTACCCGCTACCTACCTAGGAAAGAATACAATTGTCATGCACTGCTCAGCTCCAACAGGGCCACATGCCAATTTCTCTCCTCTCACCTCCTTTTTAATTGCTGATTCAGTCCTTGGGACTTCTCAGAATGGCTTCCACCACAGAATTCCTCCTGAATGTATTTTGGGCTAGTTTCCTATAATCCTATTTATCCATGTATATAAACTGCCCACTTTTTAACCATTAAGAATTTCCCAGATTTTTTAGTTTGTTGGTACAACTTTGTCTTCTTTTCCAGGGCTATCACAGAGATATTGTTCTTTATACAACTTTGAGGTCATTTCATGAGATTTGCCATATGCGATGAAGTAGATGCAGAATTATTAGCTGTCATCTTGATCCAAAGTCCGTGTCTTGTCTTAAATTCTTAAAAATGCCTAATATTTTATTTTCTTTGACATGGTCTAATTTTTAAATTATAATTATTTAATCATTGAATATTCTATACTCCATGGCACAGTTAATATTGGAAAGGGGCCAAAGGCCAGAATTAACAGAAAAATCCAGTGTAATCCCACCAGGACTGCTGAGGAATAGAAGAACCACTTTCCCCTGTTTATGAACACTAGCTTATTACACAGGGTGGTATGTTGGATGAATCTGAGGAAAATTTGTACTTATGTTGCTAATTGGTATCTTGGCAATATTGAGTATAATAAGTTTAGTCAACTTCTTTTTTTTTCTCCTGTCCTTAGAATGGTTACTGCAGAGCAAACAGGATTATTTCTCCCTTGTTTTCACTGCAGGCTTATCTTTCCCAAATCTCTTCTGTCATGTAATTAGATTCAAGTAGCAGAGACTGGGGCATTTTCAGACTTTATTGGTAGCCTCTTTCTAGCCAGAAACTCCTTAAAATTTTATTTTACGTGTGTTAAACGTGGGGCTTCCTCTTTTGTCACCAGCAGTTAATGGATATCCAAATCCAATTTACTGTACTAAGTGTTTGATCCTGATGGTAGCTGACTTGACAAAAACTGCTCAGTGGCAAAAACAAAAAGCAAAACAAAAAAAAAAACCTTGAAGTTAGTGAGATTACCAACACAAGCAAAAAAATTGTATGCTTTAGTGTATTAAAAATCACCCACTGATCCCCCAAGATGACCTTATAAATACTTAAAACGAAATTCTTCATGGGAGAAGCTTCTGGAAAATAATTATTCAGGCTATGAATCTGGAAAGAAGATTAAAGAGACCCAACATTGAAATATTTCCTTTCAAAGTCAAGTTCCTCATCTTTGTGGGCTAAGGCTACTTTCTTACTGAAATCAGTAACTTTTTCCTTGTTAAAATAAGGAACAGTTGTGTTACTCCTGAGAAACACTGTTAGTTTATTATCTTATGAATCTGTGACTTCTGCAACTGATTGTGTTTCTCTCTCCCAGTTGGCTGCTAGAAAGCTCAGATCAAATCTGTGCCCCTGTAGTAAGTATGGAGAGCTCTATGGTGTGTATTTTTATTTTAGTCTTATTCCTGGCTTTATCAGATACCTTTATTCTTCTCTTTGTCACCTACTTCTGGTTTATTTTATTTCTGGTTAAATTTTCTTTCTTCTGATAGACTGCTTTGTTTAATAGTTGATTTAATTTTAAAAAATACTCTTATTCTACAAGATTTGCATAGTGAGGCTGCCTGATAGAGTTTTACTATCCATTAGATGAACTATTATAACTACAGGTGGTGCTCAGACAATAGTATAATCATATCTGAAAACTAGTATTGGAGGTTCGGGTTCCCTACTTTCTGTCGGTGTTCAAAGAGAGGCTGGATGACCATCTCAAGATGCCATATCAAACATGAGAACCCCAGCCCTCCCCACTAGCCCTCCCCACTAGCAGAGGAGAATCCAGAGAATATATGCTTCCACCATCGGCAAAAATCATCCCCAAGTTGAGAGTGACCCCTGGGGGCAATCTGGGCATAATGTCCTCTGGGGTCTAAAAAGGAAATTCAGTCTCCTTAGGCTCCACGATGGTTTATGGTTTGGAGAGAAATGTTCTCATTCCTTTGTGCCTTTAAGACTATTTGCTGAGCATCAACCCTCCCAGAAATGGCTACACCCATACCTGAACCGGCAGGTGTGAGTCAGCAGGGCAGCTCATCACAAAGCAGGCACACAAGTGCTGGGATGCTGAATAGCTACAGCTATTTGGTCAAGGAACTCCTACATGAACATCTGCAAACACAGGGAACCTGCACTTCCAACCCTGGCTTTCCTAGCTGTGTCCTGGTAACGCCAATAGCAACACAGTGACAACTCGTGGATGAAAATTTAAAACAAAAAAGTTAACATGGTTTTGTTTTAGATCATGATTCTTGCCAGTGTCATTAACTATCAAAATAATGTCTACAAATCCAGATTCACATAATAGGTAACTCAATAAAATCTTACAATTTTTGTGTTCACTCTGGTTCTGAAGGCTCAAGAGAGGGATCTTTTAAATTGCAAAATGTTAAATGCTAAAGACTTTTCCCCTTTAAAAAACCCACAAAAATACATCATAAATTGTTACCATAAAAATTACTATCTGGACTTAATGCCATTATGAGTTCATAGTCTATATTTTATAGCTAAAATGTTTCAAGCTGCAAAGCATCATTATAAAACACAAAAAATTACTTTTGTCTCAGAGACTCACTATTCCTTTTACGCTGAGAGACTCACCACGCTTCCCTCCTGTCTGAATACCAATCTTTAATTAAATGTCCGCCTGCATTGTCTATTCCTTATACGCCACTCCAGATGTCTATCCAGTGGGAAGGGGTCCCTGGGCCATTTTGTGGTTGATGTCCAAGTCACTTCCATGCTTTTACTGGGCACTACGCCAAATAAATTATCTAAGTCATTCAAAGTAGATGTCAAAATTAATAATTTTTTATTCATAAGAAATTCAGGATCATGTCCCCTATTTTATGAAACATGAGTGCTGTCAACAAACTAGAGGAGATTTTTAAATAAAGTCATTTCCCTGTAAATTTAATCAGCACCATTTTCTTCAGACAATGAGAGAGCTTCCTTCAAAGATTAGCAAGTACGGTGCGATCATTTGAAAGATTTGCACTAAAATGCAGCATATTACAGAGCGAGTTGTTTTCCAAACCTCTAGACCCACAAACTTTCTCTGGTGAGTTAAAATGACATTAAATTCCACCCATGTAATGCACACAGCCCACAAAAATGCCAAAGGACAATGAACCTAGCACCAGCCCCAGAATTCCAATCACATTGAGAAGCTGTGACTCACAGTCTCTACCCAACAGGGTCAGTACCTAATTTGTAGACACCCATGACTAAGTCTCTCACCCCCAGGAAGAGAACCTTCCTCTCCACTTCTATAGTCTCTGTCAACACCTCTACGATAGTATCACATTAGGATTAGTTTTGTCCATTCATTTCCCCTGCTGGGCTCTGGCCTAGTTGAAAACAGAAACTGTCTTGTTCCTCACTTTATTGCAGAGGGTTGGTGTATAGTAGGTGTTCAACTTGTCTTGATTGAATGGATGATTCAGTTCATTTTTGTTTCGGAGGGTTTAAGGAGATATTTTACATTACATTTTCCATTTCACTCTTGTGATTACACCCAGACGGTAAATTTAATGAAACGCAGAAAATGGAAATGATGTGGCAGGTTGTAATAAATACCAGCTCAGGAATTCCTTACAAGTGTGTTTCCCCAATACAATGCAGTATTGTGCTCTTTCCAACAGCCATAATTTACCCAGCCCATTTTGACAGATTCTAATGAACCAAATGTCATTTATGACAATATCCATTACCTGTGCTCACTGTAGTCTGACAGGAATCACATTCGGAATGACACCATATCCTAAGCTGGTGGTTTCTAAAGAAACATACCCCTTTAACACAAAAAAAAGATAAACAGGTATGTGTGACTTTCTGATGAAAATTCAACTCTGTGTATGAGGTAGAAAGATAATCTAGCACAAATGAGGCAAATTCAATAAATTCCATTTCCATGAAATGTTAACAGAATAAAAATAATGGTTTTATGGAATGTAATCAACTAGTTAAGACGGAGCTGAATATTGTTTATATAGTTTCTAATAGATTTCTAGAGTATTTCTTGTAATCCAAATTCATTAATAAATGTCAAAGCAATAGCCCTGGTATATATTATTGCCCATCATTATTTGACCAGAATTGAATTTTCTGGGAAAATCAAAATTTTAAGGAATACCATTCATTCCAAGCTGTTCCTTTAAATCCCACTTTTACTCGTGTATGTTTTGAACTGACAAAGGAAGCATCTGTTAGGCAGATAAATATACAGTGTTGACTCACTTATCTGACAGAATTAGGACACTTAGTTATTTTCTAGGTAATAAAGGATGCCCTTTAGTGTATTATTTTTAGCTTAACTTTTTAAATGGAAAACACACATTACAGTCTGGAAATAAGGTACCTAGAAAATAATTTAACCCCTTCTGAGTACTCAGAATCATTTTTGGGAACACCAATTACTATCAAAGCAATGGGTTTGTTGTGATTCTCTTTTAGTAAAAGCTGTACATATGTAAGAGGTACAACATGTTTTGATATACATATACATAGTGAAATGATTACTATAGTCAAGCAAATTAACATATCCATCTCCTCACATGGTTACTTTTGTGTATGTGTGGTGAAATTTACTCTCATAGCAAATTTCCAGTATATAATACAGCATTATTAACTATAGTCACTTATCCTACATAACTGCAACTTGTACCCTTTAACCAACATCTCCTCTCCATTCCAGGCCCTGGTAACCATAGTTCTACTCTCTGTTGCTATATAATCTTTAGATTTCACGTATAAGTGAGATCATGCAGTATTTTTATTTCTGTGTCTGGCTTATTCCACTTAGCATAATGTTCTCCAGGTCCATTCATGTTGTTGCAAAAGGCAAGATTTCCTTCTTTTTTAAGGCTCAATAATATTCATAATAATTCATAAAGAATAATATAGTTATATATATGTATGTACATCACATTTTCTTTATCCATTCATCTATCAATGGACACTTAAGTTATTGCCATATCTTGGCTATTGAGTATAACACTGCAATGAACACGGGAGTGCAGATATCTCTTCAAGACAATGATTTTATTTCCTTTGGATACATACCTAGAATCATGAGTGCTAGATTATATGGTAATTCTATTTTTAAACTTTTGAAGAACCTCCATACTGTTTTCTAAAATAGCTGCACTAATTTACATTCCCACCAACAGCATATAAGAGTTCCTTTTCTTCACACTCTCACCAACACTTATTATCTCTTGTCTATTTGATAACAGACATCCTAATAGATATGAGATGTTTTGTCATTGTGGTTTTTATTTGCATTTTCCTGATGATTAGTGATTCTGAGCACCTTTTTATATACCTGTTGGCCACTTGTATGTCTTCTTTTGAGAAATGCCATTTGCCCATTTTTTAATCCAGTTAGTTGGAAGCATCACACTTCCTACTATACTTCCCGATTTCAAATTGTATTACAAACATACAGTAATCAAAACAGTATGGTACCGGCATAAAAACAAACACATAAACCAATGAAACCAAAGAGTGAGTCCATAAATAAACCCACACATATATGGTCAACTAATTTTCAACAAGGGGCCAAGAATATACAATGGGAAAAGGATAGTCTCTTCAATAAATAGTGTTTGGAAAACTGAAAAGCCATATTTGAAAGAATGAAATTGAACCCTTATCTTACACCATACCCAAAAATCAACTCAAAATGCCTTGAAGACTTAAATGTAAGACCTAAAACCACCATAAAACTCTTAGAAGAAAACAGATGGGAAAGCTTTTTGATATTAGCCTTGGCAAGAATTTTTCAAATATGACACCAAAACCTCAGGCAACAAAAGTGAAAATAAGTGAGACTGCATTAAACTAAAAAGCTTCTGCATGGCAAAGAAAACAATCAACAGAATGAAAAGGAAACCTACATATTAGGACAAAATATTTGCAAACCATATATCTGAGAAAGGATTAATATCCAAAATATATAAGAAATTCACACAACTGAAAAGCAAAAAAAAAAATTATGATTCTAAATGCTCCTAACCATTATACTTTTTGGGTTCTTGAGGCTGGTTTTGCTTTGGTATGAAACTGTGCTTGGCTTCTTTTACACTATTCTCCATTCCAGCATCTGACCTCCGTTTTTTACCTCTTTCCATGGAGAGCAACCTGAGCACCACTCCGAGGAGGATCCTCTAGCTTTAGCCCTTACTGGTTCACCATCCCAGGTTTGGAATTTTGTTTCAGATTCAGACTTGCAGAGTTTATTCCTGTAGTTCCTCCACCTGTAAAATCCATTGGTTTGGTGTGCCGTAGGAAGTCAGTGCCCCTGGCCTCATCCACTAGCACCTTCTCTGGGCAATCAATATTCTTGAGTGATCCAGTGCCTTCTATAATGTTCCATGTTTCTTCTTAAGCATCAGGTTTTTAATTTCAGTTTTTAGATGTTATCCATCTCTTAAAGATAAAAATAGGCCCTTCAGCTCACATAGAACTCCACTTCGTTGCCTGTTCTCTGACACTTCTGTCCCTGAATCATCACGCTGAGTGGTCTTTTTCAAACTGAGATCCATAGAGGTATGGTTTTTATACCCAGTGGATTTTGCCAAGGTAGTACTTCTACAAGTCTGCTAGAGCCACAGGGTTATTGGGCTTGGGGTGCCCATTAAAGCAAGTATGGCTGCAGTGACCAAAGACTTAGATCACAATACCCAAGTCCCATCAAATACTTAGAAAGCCTTCCCAATAAGGATGGGTACAAACAAGCCCAAACTGAGAAGACGACAATAAATATCCAACTCTTCAATGCCCAGATACTGACAAACATCCACAAGCATCAAGCCCATCCAGGAAAACAGGACCTTACCAAACAAAGTATATAAGGCACCAGTGACCAATTCTGGAGTGACAGAGATATGTGACCTTTCAAACAGAGAATTCAAAATAGCTGTTTTGAGAAGCTCAATGAAATCCAAAATAATACAGAGAAGGAATTCAGAATTCTATCAGATAAAACTAACAAAGAGATTGACATATTTTAAAATAATCAAGCAGAAGTTCTGGAGCTGAAAAATGCAATTGACAAATAGAAGAATGCATCAGAATCCCTTAACAGCAGAAATGATCAAGCAGAGGAAAGAATTAGTGAGCTTGAAGACAGGCTATTTGAAAATACACAGAGAAGACAAAGAAAAAAAATAAAAAATAACGACATATGCCTATGGGATCAAAAAATAGCCTCAACAGGGGACATCTAAGAGTTATTGGTGTTAAAGAGAAGGTAGAGAGAAAGATTAGGGTAGGAATTTTACTCAAAAGGATAATAACAGAGAATTTCCCAAACCTACAGAAAAAATACCAATATTCAAGTACAAGAAGCTTATAGAACACCAAGCAGATTTAACCCAAAGAAGACTACCACAAAGTATTTAATAATCAAACTCCCAAGGGTTAAGAATAAAGAAAGGATCCTAAAGGCAGCAAGAGAAAGAAACAGCATACAATGGAGCCCCAATATATCTGGCAGCAGCCTCCTCAGTGGAAAATTTACAGGCCAGGAGAGAGTAACATCACATATGTAAACTGCTGAAAGAGAAGAAAAACCCTTTATCCTAGAATAGTATATCCAGCAAAAACACCCTTTAAACATGAAGGAGAAATAAGGACTTTCCCAGACAAACAAAAACTGAGAGATTTCATCAACACCAGACTTGCTCTGCAAGAAACGCTAAAGGGCATTCTTTAACTGGAAAGAAAAAGACTTTAATGAGAAATAAGAAATCATCTGAAGGTACAAAACTCACCAGTAATAGTAGCTACACAGAAAAACACAGAATATTATGACACTGTAATTGTGGCACATAAACTACTCAAATCTTGAGTAGAAAGATTAAAAGATGAACCTATCAAAAATAATAACTACAACTTTTCAGGACATAGACAGTATAATAAGATGTAAATAGAAACAAAAAGTTTAAAAGCAGGAGGATGTAGTTTAAGTGCAGAATTTATGTTGGTTTTCTCTTTGCTTGTCAGTTTGTTTATGCAATCAGTGTTAAGTTGTCATCAGTTTAAAATAATGGGTTACCAGATAGTATTTGTAAGCCTCATGGTAACCTCAAATCAAAAAGCATACAACAGATATATAAAAATTAAAAACAAGAAATTATACCACCAGAGAAAATCACCCTCACTAAAAAGAAAATAGGAAGGGGGCGGGGGGAACGAGGAGAAGACCAGAAAACAAATAACAAAATGGCAAAAGTCCATACTTACAAATAATAACATTGAATGTAAATGGACTAAACTCTCCAATCAAAAGACATAGAGTGGCTAAATGAATAAAAAAAAAAGACTCAATGATGTGTTGCCTACAAAAACACACTTCGCCTATAAAGACACACATAGACTGAAAAAAAGGGATGAAAAAAGATATTCCATGTCAATGGAAACCAAGAAAGAGCAGGGGTAGCTGTACGTAAACAAAATATATTTCAAGACAAAACCTAGAAAAAAGAGACAAAGTCATTATATAATGATAAAGAGGTCAAAACACCAAGAGGATATAACAATTATAAATATGTATGCACCCAACACTGGATCACACAGATAAATAAAACAAATAGTATTACAGCTAAAGACAGACATAGATTCCAATAACAATAATAGCTGGAGACTTCAGCACCCCACTTCCAGCACTGGATAGATCATCCACAAGAAAATAAGCAAAGAAACACTGGACTTAATCTGCACTATAGACCAAATGAACCTAATAGATATTTACAGAACATTTCATCCAATGGTTGCAGAATACACTTTCTTCTCCTCAACACATGGCTCGTTCTCAAGGATAGACCACATGTTAGGCCAAAAACAGGTCTTTAAAAAAAAATTTAAATTGAAATCATATCAAGTATCTTCTCTGACCACAATGGAATGGAACTAGAAATCAATAACAAGAGGAATTTTGGAAACTATGCAAACACATGGAAATTAAACAATATGCTTCTGAATGACCAGTGGGTCAATGAAGAAATTAAGAAGGAAATTAAAAATGAAAATGGAAACACAACATACCAAAACTGATGTAATACAGCAAAAGTAGTACTAAGAAATTTATAGCAATAAACACCAAAACAAAAACTGGAAAAGTTGTAAATAAACAACCTAATGATGCATCTTAAAGAACTAGAAAAACAACAGAAAACAAAATCCAAAATTAGCAGAAGAAATGGAATAATAAACATCAGAGCACAAATAAATGAAATTAACACAAAAAATACAAAAAAAATCAATGAAACAAAAAGTTGATTTTTGAAAAGATAAACAAAATCAACAAACCCTTAGCCAGACTAAGAAGAAAAAAGAAAAGACTCAAATGAAATCAGAGATGAAAAAGGAGACATTATAAGAGACACCAAAGAAATCTGAAGGATAATTAGTGGTTATTACGAGCAACTATATGCCAATACATTGAAAAATCTAGAAAAAAAAATGGATAAATTCCTAGACACATACAACCTACCAAGATTGAACCAGGAAGAAATTCAAGACCTGAACAGACCAATAACAAGTAATGTGATTGAAGCCATAATTAAAAGGCTCCTAACAAGGAAAAGCCCAAGACCCAATGGCTTCACTACTGAATTCTACCAAACATTTAAACAAGAACTAATACTAACCCTACTCAAACTATTCTCAAAAATCGAGGAGAGAATACTTCCAGACTCATTCTCTGAGGCCAGTATTACCCTGATACTAAAACCAAAGACACAAAAAAAAAAGAAAAAAGAAAACTACAGGCCAATACCCCTGATTAACACTGATGCAAAAATCCTCAACAAAATACTAGCAAACTGAAATCAACAATAAATTAGAAAGATTATTCATCATGACCTAGTAGGATTTATTCCAGGGATGCAAGGATGGTTTAACATATGCAAATCAATGTGACACATCATATCAACAGAATGAAGGACAAAAACCATATGATGATTTCAATTGATGCTGGAAAAGCATTTAATAAAATTCAACATTCCTTCATGATAAAAATAAAACTAAAAAACTAGATATAGAAGGAACATACATCAACATAATGAAAGCCATATATAACAGACCCAGAGCTGGTATCATACTGCATAAGGGAAAATTGCAAGCCTTTCCTCTAAGATCAGCAACAAGACAAGGATGCTCAGTTTCACCACTGTCATTCAACGTAGTACTGGAATTACTAGCTAGAGCAATCAGACAGAGAAATAAATAAACGGCATCCAAATTGGAAAGGAAGAAGTAAAATTATCCATGTTTTCAGATGATATGATCTTATATTTGGAAAAAACTAAAGATAACACACAAAAAAACTATTAGAACTGACAAATCCAGTAAAGTTGCAGGACACAAAGTCAGCATACAAAAATCAGTAGCATTTCCATATGCCAATAGCAAACTATCTGAAAAAGAAATCAAGAAAGCGGTCCCATTCACAATACCTACAAATAAAATAAAATACCTAGAAATAAACTTAACCAAAGAAATGAAAGATTTCTACAATGAAAACGACGAAACGTTGATGCAAGAAATTGAAGAGGACACACCAAAAAAAGGAAAAGATATTCCATATTCATGGGTTGGAAGAATCAATATCGTTAAAATGTCCATAATACCAAAAGTCATCTACAGATTAAATGCAATCCATATCAAAATATCAATGACATTCTTCACAGAAAGAGAAAAAATAATACTAAAATTTCTGTGGAACCACAAAAGACCCAGAATAGCCAAAGCTATCCTGACCAAAAATAAGAAAACTGGAGGAATCACATTACCTGACTTCAAATTATACTACAGAGCTGTAGTAACCAAAACATCATGGTACTGCCATAAAAAACAGACATATAGACCAAAGGAATAGAGAACCCAGATATAAATGCATACTTCTACAGTGAACTCATTTTCAACAAAGGTGCCAAGAACGTACACTGGGGAAAGGAGAGTCTCTTCAACAAATGATGCTGGGAATATTGGATGTCCATATGCAGAAGAATAAAACTAGATACCCATCTCTTGCCATACACAAAAATCAAATCAAAATGGATTAAATTCTTAAGTCTAAGACCTCAAACTGTGAAACTACTAAAAGAAAACACTGGGGAAATTCTCCAGGACATTGGACTGGGCAAAGATTTCTTGAGTAATACCCGACAAGTGCAGGCAACCAAAGCAAAAGAAGACAAGTGGGATCACATCAAGTTAAAAAGCCTGTGGTCCCACCTACTCAAGAGGCTGAGATGAGAGGATCACTTGAGTCCAAACAGGCATATGAAAAAGTACTCAGCATTATTGATCTTCAGAGAAATGTAAATCAAAACTACAATGAGATATCATCTCACTCCAGTTAAAATGACTTTTATCCAAATGACAAGCAATAATGAATGATGGCAAGAATGTGGAGAAAGAGGAACCCTCATACACTGTTGGTGGGAATGTAAATTAGCACAACCACTATGGAGAACAGTATGGAGGTTCCTCAAAAAACTAAAAATAGAACTATCATGTTCCAGCAATCCCACTCCTAGGTATATACCCAAAAGAAAGGAAATCAGTATATCGAAGAGATATCTGCCCTCCCATGTTTTTTGCAGCACTATTCACAATTGCTAAGAATTGGAAGCAACATAAGGGTCCATGAACAGATGAATGGATAAAAAAAAAATGTGATGCATATACACAATGGAGTACTCTTCAGCCATAAAAAAAGAAAGAGATTCTGTCATTTGCAATGACATGGATGAAACTGGAGGTCTTTATGCTAAGTGAAATAAACCAGGTACAGAAAGACAAACTTCACATGTTCTCAGTTATTTGTGGAAGCTAAAAAAAATTAAAACATTTGAACTCATGGGGATACACAGTAGAATGGTGGTCACCAGTGGCTAGGAAGGATAGTGGCGGTGGGGGAAGTGGGGATGGCTAATGGGTACAAAAATATAGTTAGATAAAATGAATAAGATCTAGTATCTGGTAGCACAACAGGGTGACTACAGTCAACAATAATTTACTATAGATTTTAAAATAACTGAGAGTATAATTTGACTGAACACAAAGAAAGGATAAATGCCTGAGGTGACGGATACCCCATTTACCCTGATGTGATTATTGTGTATTGCATGCCTGATTCAAAATATCTCACATACCCCATAAATATATACACTTACTAGGTACCCACAAATGTTAAAAATAAATGAATAGGCCAGGTGCGGTGGCTCACACCTGTAACCCCAGCACTTTGGAAGGCTGAGGCAGGCAGATCAAGAGGTCAGGAGATCGAGACCATCCTGGGCAACATGGTGAAACCCGTGTCTCTACTAAAAATACAAAAATTAGCTGTGTGTGGTGGTGTGTGCCTGTAATCCCAGCTACTCGGGAGGCTGAGACGGGAGAATCACTTGAACCCAAGAGGCAGAGATTGCAGTGAGCCGAGATTGCATCACTGCACTCCAGCCTGGCAACAGAGACTCTGTCTCAAAAAATAAAAAATAAAATAAAAATAAATGAATAAATAAAATTTAAAAATTAAAAAAAAACAAGAAGGGAAATCAGAACCAGGAGTAGAAAAAAGTGGACACTATTAAACAAGTATTGAGCCTTGGATGTCCATTCCCCCAATCCTTTCTTTGTATTAAAATTGCCACCAACCTTCAAAATATCTTAATTGTTAATTAACTACTGTTAATCCCTTCCCAAGTGCTTCTTCATCAGTATTTAGAAGGAATATTTTAATCATATTTTAATGATCAAAGTATTATATGCTCATTTGTAGTAAGCCTGGAGAATACATTTAAAAGAAAATTTAAAACACTCTTAATTCCACAACCCAGTGATAACCACTGTTATTTTTGCTTTTTCATGAGGTTTCTCTTTCTGTTCACATATAAATAAAATTATAGATTTCCTATGT
This sequence comes from Homo sapiens, assembly GCF_000001405.40. Classification (NCBI taxonomy): domain Eukaryota; kingdom Metazoa; phylum Chordata; class Mammalia; order Primates; family Hominidae; genus Homo; species Homo sapiens. The sequence goes on along the minus strand of NW_025791797.1, from coordinate 329,481 downwards.
GATTCTGTGACCTGATCTTTTAACTTAAGGATATCATGTTAGCATTTCCTGTTATTTCAAAAGTATAAGCATAATAAAAATTAGTAATATTCCATCTCAGAAATCCCATAATTTACTTGGCCATTCCCCTACGGTTTAACATTTAGATTGTTTCTGGTTGTCAAGTATTATAAATAATAATATCAATGTATTTTTGCAGGAAGCATTCTTTTTACTTAGACTATTCCCTCAGGAAATTCCCTGAAACAACATTTGCTGAGTCAAAAACTAAAGATATTTCTGAGGTTCTTAATACATGTTGCAAAACTGCTTATCAAAAGCACTGCACTTAGCAGTATTCAACAGCACAATATAAACTTGATCTCTGCCCATCACCATCACTAGCACTGGGTTTGCAAACTTCTTTTTTTGAAAGTAATTGCTGGAGGTGGGGGAGTGCTTTTTAGTCATTGCTTGGGTTTATATTTTATTGATTAGAAATAAAGTTGAATCTTTCCATATGATTATTAACCAGTCACTTGCTTTTCTATTACAACTGTAAAGTATTTTCCTTTACCTATTCATCTACTATCTCTTTTTTGTCCATTTGAAAAGTCTTTTACATGGTATTTTACAAAATTTGTATTACATGTTATCTTACTTTAACTTCTCATTTGAATGTTTTTCGACAAGTATTCATTTTAAGGCTTCTATGTAGTTAAATCCATCAATACATTTTACTTTCCATTCATTTGAAGCTTCTCCATCAGAAATTTGGAAGTATTTACTTTCATGGTATTTTTATGTTTTTATGGTTAAATTTTTTATTTAACTCTTCAATCCATCTGGAATTTACTATTACATATGTTAACAATTTAAATTAACTTTTTCTAAATTAACCAACTGTTCCAATATCACTTACTGAATATATTAAATGTTTACATTTTTGAAAGAATGTGAGGTCCTCTCAGTATAGACTGTAGTTACATGATAATTTCTGAAACGAATACTCTTGTTTTTGTTATCTTCTACATAATGTGTAATTATATTTTTCATTTCCTCTTGCATGAATAATTTCTTCAGAAGAGTGTTTTAAAATTTGTAATGTTTATAGGTTTTGATTCAAACCTCTTCACTTAATGTTTATTTGAATTACTTAGGCTCAGAGGATAAGGCCTATAACAATTTCTGTATCATAATTTTTTCTGTTTCTACATTTCCTAAATTCTAACTTGCTCCTTCCTATCTTTTTCCATTTTTTGAAATCAAAATGCAATACATCTTACAACTGACACATATTTAATGACAGCTTTGAATTTTTTTCACAAAAGCTTTTAGTAAATCAAAGCTGTCTTATAGCACTGACTGAATTTCCTCTCTTCCGTTTGATGTCTTCTCTCTTTTGTGAGTACTTACATTGGATGTCTGAGATCTGTCCAACATAGCTACAGTCTCCTCGTTGATTTTATTTCCCTGTCCTTATCCCCTGTAACTGAACTTTTCTGAATTTGTTTTCACTAATCTGATTCTCTGCTGAATCCAGCATCTCCCGCCTCTTGATTTCATTTGGAAACTATGCCTTTCATCTGTTTTCATCTTTGCTCATCTCAGTCTGTCCTGCCTCATGAGTTTAAGGCAGTTTCATAAAGGCAATGTCCTCTTAAAAACATAAATCTGTGGCCAGGTGCAGTGGCTCATGCCTGTAATCCCAGCACTTTGAGAGGCCAAGGCAGACGGATCATGAGGTCAGGAGTTCGAGACCAGCCTGGCCAACATGGTGAAACCCCATCTCTACTAAAAATAAAAAAATTAGCTGGGCATGGTGGTGCACACCTGTAGTCCCAGCTACTCAGGAGGCTGAAGTAGGAGAATCGCTTGAACCCAGGAGGCAGAGGTTGCAGTGAGCCAAGATCGAGCCACTGCACTCCAGCTTGGGCAACAGGGCAAGACTCCATCCCAAAAACAAACAAACAAACAAAACACATAAATATGCTAGTGTCTTGTGTTTCCTAGGTTTCTTGTTGTAAATCTACTTCAGAAGAAGGCAACATCTAAGAGTGTTTAGAGAATTGGAGGTCCCCTTCTCTCAAACTACGGAACATGTACTAGGCTCCGTGATATACTGCTTATACTTCCTTAAAGATGTTAATCTATGTAGAACTGGATTATAACTGAGTAGGAGTTAAACAAGGGGCTCTCAGAGACCCTCCAGGAAAGATACTTTGTTCACCCAAATCCTTTACTAAGAGGCTTCTGAGTCTGAAGCGTCAGAGTTCTCCCTGTGTGCAGATGGGACAATGTGACTGTGAGGTCCAACACTAATCAATGCTCATGAATGATAAGACATGCCAGATATTTAATAAGATTGCTGATGAACTCTGGTTGTTTAAAATAAGGTTTCCTGTGCCATGTGGCAAGAGTTAGGCCTAACAGACAGATATCAAGTCATGGCAAAATCACATCTGGCAGAGAAAATGGAACTTCAGGGTAACTTCCTATAGTTCTGCCAAACTGTTCCAATTCCAGGTAGGGCCAATTTTGCTAACTTAAAAAGTACATATGCTGCTTCTAAATAAAATATAACAAAAAATAAAAACATAAAAAATTGCTAACTAAGCTGGACAGAAAAAAGATTTCCCATACTCATCATCTGAACCTGGGGAAGAACAAAATGTCTTGTGCATTTATTTTTTAGACTTCTTATTCAAGTATTTTACAATAAAATTTGGCAAGTTTAATGAAATATTTTTTAACATAAAAACCATGAGTGGAATAATTCAAGGTTTAAAACTAAGAAAAAATATGCTTTAAAACATTTTAAAGGTTTGCCCCAAGTTCATGGCATTATAAATCCATGTCTTAAAATGAGTTGAATTGGGGACATTTATTTTATATTATAAAAGTACTATCCTGTAATGGGGCAGGAAATAAAGCTGCTTCAAGTTAGAACACAAAATAGACTCAACTTGTAAAATATGCTAATGGTAACACAGTTTCACTGCCAACAGCAGGGCATACTTACTGTCATTAAAATAGTTTAGTACTTAACATGGCTATTCAGAGTGTAATGCCCACTGACACATTCTAACCTTTGTGTGTGCTGAAAATTCTAAAAACCTTTTGTCACCAACCGCTAAATCAATATTTCTCAAACATGTTCTGGTGTCAGAATGTGTGAAGTATCACGGGGATGCTTTTACAAAGCCTCATGGAATACTCATAAATTAAACTTTAAATTACTGCACACATAAGTTTGAACTTAATTGAATATGATTATATATCTTATTTTAATGTGGCAATGAGGTCAGGGACCAAACATTTAAGAAATATCTATGGAAGAAATGTTTAATTGTAAAATGCTTTTCTGCTAATTAATTTTTTCTAGTGAATTTGATATTTTTGAAGTTGCATTATTTGATTTTAGGTATGCAATGTAGTATGGCAAAAAAGTGAACATGTTTTCTCTCTTTATTTATTTATTTTTTAAAATGAGACAGAGTCTCTCTCTGACACCCAGGCTGGAGTGCAGTGGTATGATTTCTGCTCACTGCAACCTCTGCCTCCCAGACTCAAGTGATTCTCCTGCCTAAGCCTCCTGAGTAGCTGGGATTACAGGCATAAGCCACCACGCCCAGCAATTTTTGTATTTTTAGTAGAGATGGGGTTTTGCCATGTTGGTCAGTCTGGTCTCAAGCTCCTAGCCTCAAGTGATCTGCCCACCTCGGCCTCCCAAAGTACTGGGATTACAGGTATGAGCCACCTCACCAGGCCAAATATTTTTTCTCTTGAAAAAGACCTAGGTATGAAATTGGCTTTGCCATTGACTGATTGTGTCCTGGTGAGGCTGTTAACTCCTCCAAGCCACAACTTCCTTATTAATAATATGGAATGACACTATCCAATTCACAGCAAAGTTGAGTTTCATTTTTGTTTTGTTGATGCTGTTTTGTTGTTGTTACTTTTATCTTTTACCTTTTACTATGCAAGATTTCAAACATACATAAAGGTAGACAGAAAAGTCTAATGAACCCCAAGTACCCATAGCCCAGCCCCACAATCAGCAACCCAAGTCCAAGCTTATTCTACTACTCACCCACTCCCACTATACAAAACATCATTTAATCAGTAAATATTTTTATGTGTATTCATAAAATATACTTTTTAGCATATTCACAATACCATTTTCATGCCTCAGAAATTAGGAGTTGACAACAAAATAGTAATTTTCCAATTTTCTTATAAATGTCATAAAGAGTGTTGTCGTAGGTTTTTTGTCTGTTTATTTGTTCATTTACATAAAGATCCAAATAAGGGCCATGCATTGCAGTTGGTGGATACATCTTTTAAGTCTCACTTAATCTTTTTGGTTCTGTATCTAGTTTTCTTTTTCTTTTGCAATTTATTTGTTGAAGAAATTGAATTGTTTGTCCTGTAAAGTTTCCCACTGTCTGGATTTTGGTGGTTGCAAACCCATGATTTAGTTTAATGTGTTTCCTTGTACACTGTAATTCTCATAAATAGGTAGTTAGATCTGCAGCCTCAATTTTCGGGAGGTCGAGAAGCACCATAGAAGGCAAGAATCCTACATGGGTAGTACTGGGTTCTTCCATCAAGAGATGTACACTGTTTGGCTGTCTCCCTTTTTGCGACTTTATTGGCTTTGATATTCAATGCATATATCAGTTCATTAGAGTTGCAAAATGATGACATTCTCATTCTATCATCCCTTCCTTATTTATTGACTGAAATATTTCTGTAAAGACAAATTTTCCTCATCTACTGTTTGGTTATCCAGTGATATTGTTCATATAGAAAAGGCAGAATGAATATTTGGGTTTTTTCCTTCTATTTGTTTTCAATGTAATGAGTTGATTCCTGAGCACCCGCCAACAGTGACTAATGCATTTTAGTATTATTATTAACTTAGTGATATAAACATAGTTGACATGCTTAAGTCCTTTGCAATTTTTGCTTTTATTGATGCTCAAATTTTGTCCCAATTTTTTTTTTTTTTTTTTGAGACGGAGTCTCACTCTGTCACCCAGGCTAGAATGCAGTGGCAGGATCTCAGCTCGCGGCAACCTCTGCCTCCCGGGTTCAAGCAGTTCTTGTGTAGCTGGGATTATATAGCCATGCACCACCACGCCTGGCTAATTTTTGTATTTTTAGTAGGAATGAGGTTTCACCATTTTGGCCAGGCTGGTCTCAAACTCCTGACCTCAAGTGATCTGCCCGCCTCAGCATCTCAAAATTCTGGGATTGCAGGTGTGAGCCACTGCGCCTGGCTTCAAATTGTCCCAATTTCTGCTTATAAAAGTGTTGACAAGCTGATTCCTGAGTCCTTCTGATGAGACTCTAGTAGTCTTGACAGCTTCCTTGCTACCTGTTAATTACATAATGTTCCAGGCTAATTTTGCATTGTTTTACCTCCAGACCCAGAATAAGTAATTTTGCCATGGAATCCTGGTTCCTTTTAAATGGGATATGGTGTTGAGAGACCATGACCTGGGCACTAGATCACTGCTATTAAGTTGGCCATTTGCTCATTGTTATTATGCCTTTTCAGTGAAGGGATCTGCAAAATATGTCCTGGTTTGGTTTTGTTTAAGATAAAAGACCTCAGGAGTTTTTACAGATACTTACAATTCAATTCTAGGACTATAGAGTTTTCACTTAATTTCTTCTATCTTTTTTCCCTGTCTCCTTTTTCCCATATCAAGAATACGGATTTTCAAGATTACCAGAATAAAAAACCAAATGATCACATTTGTATTGTTCATTTGCTTTGTCTCACATCACCCACACAGCAGTCTCATAACAGCAAGTCCAATGCTACCATCAACAATAACGTCACTGCAAAAAGTTTTAAATCTCATTTTTAGTTCTTTTATCCTTGGATATACTGACCTTCAGTGAAATTCATGTGTATTAAAGTCAATTAGAATAATTCTTCTCTATGTGGTTACCACCACCAATGGGAATCATAGGTTTTTTTGCTTTTATTATTTTATTTTTTATTCTTAGGGATTGTTCTTTTAAAATCTAATTTTACTTTACAAATATATAAAATATTTGCATGATCCCAAAGCCAAATGTGTAAGATAGGTATATACAGAGAAGCTTAGCTTCTGTCGCTTCTCCCGCACCTTCTTTTCTCCCTTCCCTTACAACTAACTGGTCTTTTTTAAAACTCATCACAAATTTCATATCATCCTTGTACAGAGGCCATGCTAATCTTCTCTGTATTGTTCATTTTAATATATGTGCTGCTGAAGCAAACACAGAGGAGCAGAAGAGTAAACTGTAATTATAAGGCACAGGGCATATCTCATACAGTTCTTATACATGCAGGTTGCTTAATAAAGGGCAACTGTAATCTTAGCCTTCAAAAAGAAAAAGCTCCTCTTCTCTAGTTTCAAGATTGAAATTGCAGGAATTACTTTGGATACAATTCTATCTCACATCACAGTATCATACACCCAGCATGATGCCACATTACAGAGATTCAATCAACATTTGTTGAGGGATTGATGGAATGAATGACTACTCCTTTAAACTACTGCTATTATCAGCTCAGATGTCAGTCTCCACTCAAGGTATTATAATTTTTCATGAGAACCATGTGTTCAGAATTAGGTTTTTAAATAGAGCATAGCTTTATTTAATGTATATTTACAATATATCATAGCTCTATTTGATAAATATATGTCTTAATGCAGTGTAAACCTAACGCAAAAGCAAAATTCTTAGTTAAAAATCTTGCCTTTTCCCAATTATAAAGAAAAATTTACTCAATCATTTTGAAATGTAAATTTTAAAAACCCTGTTAGCATTAAATCCCAGAGGGAAGGGATTAAGAGAAGGATTCATCCAAATGGACTAGGAATACTATTCCTTGTTGGTGGTCTGCCACGTGGAAAGCGTTGAGAATTGGAAGCAAGCAGCCAGGGTCCAAAACAAAGAACAGTCTGATTCTACAAACAAGCCTTTGGACTAACAGTATTTGGAAAAGAGACTATTACTTCCTCATAGTTGTAGGAAAAGAGTGAAAAATAGAAATAATTACAAACACACACACACACAACACACACACACACACAAAGAAATAAAGATAGGCTCTTTATTATCACAAAGAATAATTAACTTTTTTAAGAATTTATTTTCTTTCTTTCTTTTCCTTTTTTTTTTTTTTTGAGACGGAGTTTTGCTCTTGTTGCCCAGGCTGGAATGCAATGGCACGCTCTCGGCTCACTGCAAACCTCCGCCTCCCATGTTCAAGCAATTCTACCTCAACCTCCTGAGTAGCTGCGATTACAGGCGCCTGCCGCCATGCCTAGCTAATTTGTGTGTGTGTGTGTGTGTGTTTTTAGTAGAGACAGGGTTTCACTATGTTGGCCAGGCTGGTCTCAAACTCCTGACCTCAGGTGAACCTCCCACCTTGGCCTCCCAAAGTGCTGAGATTACTGGCATGAGCTACCGTGCCCGGCCTAAGAATTTATTTTATTTCTTAAAGCAAACTCAGAAATAAAAATTTAATTAGAATTTCTTCAAGTCTTGTCACTCCTGGAAGTAGATCTAGCTATTCCATGTCCATGGGAATTGCAGAAAAGTCATGCAGACTCACTCTAGATTGTTCTGACTCCAACAGGATAAGACATCCATGTCAATAATTACAAACCCAGATGAATCCTTAGGGCCATAAGCAAACATGAGTGACTATTTCAAAGAGCAGGAAGAAACGCTGTTAGGCTGAGGACTTCACTGAAAACTACCTGGAAGAGATGGCACTAAGCTGGACATCGCAGAAAACACAGACATTCAATAAAGAGCTTTGCACACCCTTGGCACAGGAAAATATCAGAACAGGAAAGGCATGGAGTCCAGTCTGGCCAGAGCACAGGGCACACAGAGAGAAATGGGGGATAAGGGAAGACAGGTAACCTGGGGCCAAGCTGTGCAGGGGCTTTAATACCGGTCAGCAGTTGGCCTATTTCAGAGGAGGAAACAAGGACCCATGTAAGGTTTTTGACAAGGGGTATAATCTTCAACAAATATATGCTCGTTGTGCATTTACTGTGTGCCAGGCTGCAGAGTACAATCTGGAGCTATAGTGATGAGAAGACATAGTCCCTGCCCCTAGGGGCTCAAAGCCTGGTGGAAAAGACAAAGGAGGAAATGTGCAGTGCTGGGTGCAGAGGAGAAGGACTTAATAAGAGAATCTCAAAGGGGATGAGAGAAGACTTGGAGAAAGTACCCAATCAGTTCAATCCAGCTCTGGGAAGGGAGGTGTATGTTATATATGTTAATTTCCACATAATCCAAATGTATTCATGTATGTAGCCATGTATTATTAACTTTTAGAAACAGAAACCTGTCCAAAATAATCATGCATGTGTGCATGTGCAGAATGATGAATGTAATTGAAATGGTTTCCTGGAAGAGGCAATATTAAGGGCCATCAGTCACTGTCCTGAGCTATCACTGCTGACCCCAGGGACATGAGGCTCAGCAGAAATTGCTCCAAGCCTCACATCCTGCATTGTGTTTTCTTGAAACAGTTCATGATGCAGCATCCCCACAGGGTTTGTTGTTTGGATAAGTAAGTCACCCAGACTAGCATGAGAAATCCAAACTGAGTGCACTGTTTGACCACACCCACCTTCTCTTCCCTCCTCACTCCCTCCCACTACAACCCATGAAGGTTACAGTGGGTCAGGAGGTCAAAATGCTATAAGAAAAAAAATTCCAAGATGAGAAAGGAAAGAAGGATGGAAGGAAGGAAGGAAGGAAGGAAGGAAGGAAGGAAGGAAGGAAGGAAGGAAGGAAGGAAGGGAGGGAGGGAGGGAGGGAGGGAGGGAAAGAGAGAGAAAGAAAGAGAGAGAGAAGGAAAGAAAGAAAGAAGAAAGAAAGAGAGAGAAAGAAAAAGAAAGAAAGAAAGAAAGAAAGAGAAAAGGGAAGGAAGGAAAAGGAGAAGGAGAGAAAAAGAAAGAAAGAGGGAAGGAGGGAAGGAAGGAAGGGAGGAAGGGAGGGAGGGAGGGAGGGAGGAAGGGAGAGAGAGAAAGAAAGGAAAGCAGGAGGCCTAGGAAGCAAGCAGGTGGACCTAATCTCACCTGCGCGTGTAAGTGAAGGTGGCCTTACTTCTTTGAGGAAGTAACAACTGAGCTGAAGGATATACAAGGGTTAGACGAGGATGGCAGGGGGAGGAACAGTGTGTACAAAGCAGAGGGGATGTTCCAAGCAAACAGGACAATTTATGCAAAGGCTGCAGTTGAAGAGCTACTTGAAGGGAAAGGAAACATACAAGCTTCATCAATAACACCTGGCCTAGAAATGTGCTGGACAGCAATGCAGACAGTGTTCCAGTGGGCATCCCTAACAGCTACACACCTGTGCCCCCACTTGCCCTTGGGATGTCCCACCAAGCACAACAGCTAGCAGGATCCTGATCTCAGGCTACCAGTTTCATTGAAGAACTCCAGCCCAAGAGTGGACATTAAAGTCCAAGCTAGAAGATAGGGTGGAAATTGGGACTGTCTCAGTGCCAGGAAAGCCAGGACAGTTGGCCACCCTAAAAAGGTTTACACAAAAAGCAGATTAAGAGTACTACCAAAGGTAACTAAACACAGAGAATAACACAACAGATACTTTCAAGATATTTATCTGCCTGGCCTCAGGTATCCATATGTCAGTGCCATTTTCCCAACCATCTGGAAGAGCCCTCAACACGTCTCAGCTCCCCAAAGTCCAGAACCAAGAAATACACTCCAGAGTGTTAAAACTCCAAGCATGAGCAGGCAAAGGTGTCCACTGAGAGACTCAAGCCCCATGGAGCCTTTACCCACCAGGAATCTCTTTGCAAACTGTGCCTACACTTTTTTGACGTAGGCTAGAATTGGCCAAACAAAAGGAAACATTTCTGAATAAGCCAATCAAAACATAATGCCTCAAATCCCTTGTGATAGGGAATAAATTCCATTACTGCTTCTACATCTGGTCCTTCAAAATTCAGCTTGCAGAGAATCGGCGAAGTCTTTTCTTGCCTGGCATGGCCCTTCTTTGCTGGCCAGCAAATTAACTTACCTTTGTTTTGAAATTCAGAGTTCATATGTGACATAGTCAATCAGAACAGCATGTACAGTTGCATGTGCATTATTCATGCATTTGTTTTATGCTGTAATAAGAGAAAAAAAAAAGATGTTCCCATCCAGTCCTCCACCTGCCATTACTCCCCATTCTTATAGCAAACCTGCAAGTCCAGTTTCCTGCATTTTCTCAAGATCACAAACACTAATAAAATCTACTCCCTTCACTATGCCTGAGGAGGACAGGCCACAACAGAACAGAAATCTGGCACTCGTTTAAGAAAAACACACATTCAGTCGCAGAGATGTTTAGTAGAAGGGGGTTGATGAATGCGGTCAAAATAAAGAATTAGAGATGATCAAAGGTGACATTGAGGGTTCCCCCACTACATGAGGCTGTATTTCATGGCTGATCGATCTTCTTTAGCAGAGCTCAGAAGGCCATCTAAGACAGAGAAAGACACCAAGTTGTAGAGAACCTGATAGAAAGTTCCACTAGGCTAGTGGGCCAGGAAAATCATGCATAGAAGGTGAGGGATGACACTGATAGAAGAGGCCACGTGGGTAGGAAACCTAGAGATGCTGAAAGGTGGCTGATCACCTGGGAGAAGTAGAGAGATAAGAGAATTAGTTGTCTCTTAGAGATTAAAAGGAATGCATGTAGTAGAAGCATGCATAGGAGGAGGTGAAGGAGAAGGGTCTGAGATTAGAGAGAGGCTGCAGGATTTAATACTTCTAAGGCAGAGTAGTTTGAAGAATGATATGGTCCAGTTTGGACACTTGGAATGGGTGACTGAAGTGGAAGGTCTGTGAAGGTCACTGGAGCCAGAGAGATGCAGAAATGACAGGGTTAGACTGAAGCTTGCAGAATGACAAATGCAATTGAAATGGTTTCTTGGAACAGGCAATTTTAAGGGCCATCAGTCACTGCCCTGAGCTATCACTGCTGACCCCAGGGACAGGAGGCTCAACAGAAATTGCTCCAAGTGTTAATTCTTGAACACTCCCCGGATCATGGCATGACCTTGGAAGGAAGGAAGTCATGATCAGGTCATAAAGGTTTTGGTGAATGCTCTGATCAGTGGTTTAGACAGATGACATGAGCCTCCAAAAAAGAGGAGCACTGAGATGAGAGAAGAGGACTAGCCAGGAAGTAGCAGTAGGGACTCCAAGAAGGTCAACCCCCCACCTTAGCCGTGTAGCACTTGGGTTGTGAGGTATGAGCAGCCTCCACTGGTGAGGCCTGCAAGAGAGGCAGTGAGCCTGGCCAAGGCCAGTTTTCAGTTGCAGCAGAAAGTTGGAATTCAGGACATGGGGTCCTGTTGACCATGAGGGGACGATGGAAAGCACTGGGAAGGGGAAATCAATAAACAAAGGATAAAACAGGAGGAAGAACAGAAAAGCAAGTCATAAAAGGCCACTGAAGAGAGGAGATGGTGGAGAGGAAAGTCTACTTGCTTTCTTTCATCCAGGGATTGTGACAGAACTGAGTTGCTCAAAACAACCTCATCTCAAAGCACTTGAAGGCTGTGAGGATATGTGAGTAGGGACTGATCTGATCTCAAAGAGAAAGGATGATCTGACGGTAAGCAGCAAGGGCCCTGTCAGAACAGAACTTATCTCTCAGTGTTCTTAAGGGTAGTGAGGGACTTTTAAGGAAAGATCCATTTGGGTCTGTCTTGAACATCCCCACCCTATACCCACCCCTTAACCCATAGGGTGTAAGTGATAAAAATCACCCAGTACCCCAAATATGAGTTTAGGAAGATGACACTGAAAGAGGAAAATGTCTGCATCCTTCAAAAGCTAGATATTAAATCTCTACCCACACAATTCTTTTATGCTTTCATGATTTGTGAAAAAGCTCAATGATAATGAAATTCAGAGTTCATGTGTGACACAGTCAATCAGAACAGCATGTACAGTTGCATGTGCAGTATTCATGCATTTGCTACACGCATGAACTGTGAACACAGTACAAGTTATTCCAACTAATTTGTTCTTGTCTTCTCTTAACAGACCATGAGCTTGCTTTCTTGTTAGATCGCTAAATCTTGGAATATTTAAGCAGCATAACTACATTTGACCGAGATTACTTACTAACAAAGGAATGAACTATTCAAACTCAAATGGCTTGCTGCTTAAAAATATTATACACACAGGCCAGAAACAACACAGAAACTCTCCTATGTGGAGAACATATAAGTTGCTCATTTTGGTCAGTGAAGAAGATGAAAATACCCAGTAGACCCATGGGCTATGTCCGTCTTCTTTCACCAGAAATTTCAGAAGTTGGTATATACTTTCCAACTAAAAACGATTACATAAATAACTTGGAAACGTCAAGTGATATTTCTGAGGGCTGCCAATAGTTTAACCACATTGAAACTCCTGGCCAAGATATTCATGAAAAGTTCGGAAGAAGTTACTTTGAGAGAGATGTACTCACAGCAAATAGATTTCTCCTCTTTAGAAAGAATGCATAAATCAATAGTTAAACGAGGAAAAGGAAAATTATGTTTATCATAATAGTATAAGAAAAAAGGCATTTAAAAGAAGTTTAGAAATAAGACTACACAGACTTCATTATTAATATATTATTGTTATTATTAGTATTAAAAATTCATTCAAACATTTCTCTCATACTTTTCCTGCCCACAGATTAGATGTAAAAATGTCTTAACTGAGCTTAAGGGCAAAGAACGGGCACTTGGCTTTGCTACTGCCTGGCTGTGTGATCTTGGACAAGACACTGTTCCTCTCCGGGGCTCAGATTCCTCACCTGAAAAGCCAGAATCCTATACTTTCTTTCAACTCTGACATGCTATTAATACAATTCCAGATGCTACCAAGGCTGCACATCCAGCCCTCTGCCTCCTTTGGGATGGAAACAGTAAAGAAAATACAATTTAGAGAGGCATATTGAAACAAGGAATCATACAAATAGGCAGCCAATGACATCCCAGGAAGGAAAGAGAAGAGTCAACTATGACTTCACCTATGATGTCATTAAGGCCTTAGGACTTTACAAACATGGAATTGTACCAACACAGACTTTTACAAATATAGGCTGATTCATACCAGAATATAGGTGTGACTTGAAGAAAGTAACTGAAATTCTTAAAAAGGATGCCTGTTGAAGGTGGTGGGGGGAGGGAGGTTGGAGGACATAGAAGAAGTTAGATTTTAAAGGTTAAAAATGAGTAGCAGAATGAGTAGCAGAAAGCAGCAAGAGACAGTAAGAATTTGAAAACCAAGTGGTCACTGAAAGCAATGGTAGATGAGAGTACAGGCAAAAGCATTTTTAAGTCTGGAAAAAAATCTCAAATCCTCTTAAATGTGGTCAGGAAGAGACACAGCAAACGCTAAATTAGTCAAGGGCAGAGGAGCAGGAAGTTTACCAGGGAGAAGGGATGGCCTGGTATGAATAGGTATAAAAGGACCTCTCCAACATGAGATCAAGGTAGTTCTCTAAATGGCTTCGAGCTTGCATTAGTGGGATTATCCTTGGTTAATTTTAGGAAAATCAAAACCCACTACTTGTCCTACATGCTTGGAATCCAAGGTATTAACCTTTTTTCCTGCCTTTTGGTGCCTAGTAGACTAAAAGTGGCAAGGTCAGCATTATTTTAATACCCTATATTAATATTAACAGGTACACACATAAAGAATTCATAAAACATAGGAAAGTGTGCATGAGGCCCAATTTCTAAGTCACCTACTGCTCGTGCTTAATGTCCTTTATCCTACGATGGCTGCCAGTGAGGAGGAAGCACATTACAGCAAATCCACCAAGTCTGGGAGGACACACCTTCCACCTTCCCCCATGCCTAACAAATGCTAAAAATAAAGAGAAATAAAAGAATATTTATGCAAAAAACAACTTTTCCTAACTCCTTAAAAAATAAATGACCTCTAACTGAGAAACACTGTGCTTGTCACAGGCTTTCAGTGACCATAATAAAGCTCCAAGTTTAAATCTTCAGTGAGTTGAAGCAAGGTAAGGATGGAAAACAACCACACCATCCCCCTTTCCCAGAAGGTGATCTAGGCAGAGAAAGACAGAGCAGATCTCCAAAAACTGACTTACTCAGCGATGAAAAGAACCATGTGCAGTGACCAATATCCAGCTGTTTGCCTATGAACAGGTCCTCTATGGGACAAAACTCCAAAACCACTATGAGGAATGACCAAAGAATCTACCCCAGAGACAGGCTGGCTAGTAACTGAAACCACAGCCTTCTTAGCCAGTCGTCCCAAACTAATACATTCTAGCTACTTCATGTACCTGATGCAACCAAGTGCTAGAACACCTTTATTCTAAGAATGTGCCCATCCAATAGAAAGTCAGTGCCATTTTAATTTCAGTTAATGTTTCACTCAAGCTTCAAAAAAAAATTGTGGCTTCTATTAAAAACTGGAAAGGAATAAATATGCTTATGAATGTTCTCCACATAGCTAATTCCAAATTCCTGAAGGAGATGAGAATGAGCTGATAAGGCATCCATTAATCTTAATCTTAATCTCTGGGGTCTATTAAGATCCCCAAAGCTCTACTAACTGTAAACAGTGGAATCAGGATTTTTAGGATAGGAGATAATTTTCTAGGTGGTTCTTCTGAGAGAAGCTCCTGGATATATCTCAGAGCAGGAGAGCCTTGGGTTTGGAGTGTAATGGTCTTAGTTTTTCAAATAACCACGGGTGTCCTTGAGTAAGTCATTTGCACATTTGGCGTCTCTGTTTTCTTGACTTGTAGAATGAGGCACTTGGGCCAAAGTCTCCACCAGCTGTAAAACTGTATAATTCTCTAAGTAATAGTTTACCGAATTGCTGGCAAGACTGCCTCAATAATCAGAATGATCCAATTAACACTCTGCAACGTGGAATATTCTATTTGTAGTTTCAGACTATTTTAGAGTGGAAAGAGTTCAGATCATGAAATCCAGTCACTTTGTTTTTTAAAAGAAATAAAGAATCCAAAGTCCAAAACGTTAAATAGTTCTGTTAGATTATAAGCTGATTAGTGGTAGAAGCAAGACCAGGCTGCCTGACTAGTCCTGTTTGCACTAAACCACATTGTTACTCAGTTGGCTTCAGACCACTTTCTTCACTAGAAGCTGCCGCGGCCCTCCGTATGATCCATAATGTGGCTTTTACGCCTCCCATTAAATGCAGCCTACATCACAGCTATGTGTTACTGGCCTCAGGGTTATTAGTTTTCCAGGCATCTAACCCAGGAGACATTTGAAGAATGACCTGAAGGTCTTCATGAAATGCGCCCAGGATAAAACACTTTAAAAAGTCCTGTGAGGTTCATCCAAGACAGCAAATATCTACACACCATCCATTTGCATCCCATTTTATCAAATGAGTACTCTATAGGTAGGAAGATCCTAGTGAACCCACATCTGACCCAACAGCATTAGAAACTAGGCTGCAGCCTCAATTGCATAAGTACTTTGTCACTCTGGCTTCAAGCCACTGTGACAGCAGGACAGCACCCCTGGCATATATATATGGAGATTCCACAGGTAGGTACCCATGCCACCTGACACAGGTTCTGCCCTGGCAGCCACTCACACAGACCCTGTACCTACTTCTGGCTGTGGAATGCCGGTGGCTGCTGGCATATAACAAAGGCTACACTGGAAAACTGTCCCCACCATTTCCCCAGGTATGAAATCTTTGGAGAGACTGCTCTGAAAACCTTTTAGGGACAACCTGGGAATTTCTGTGCAAGAGTAATGCTGCATGCCACCCAGTATGCTGCAATTTGTTCCAACATGAGACAATTTGTTCCAAAGAGTACAACTGGCTGCTAGACATTAAACCCTATATTATGTTGGATCCAGCAACTGGGTTGAATCTCTCAGACATAATGATGTGTGAAAGAAGCCAGACACAAACGAGTATGTGGTGTATGATTCCATTTATATAAAATCAAAAATAAAATTAAAAGCAGGCAAAATGAATCTGTAATACTGATAAAAGTCTGAATGGTGGTTACTTCTTGAATGTGGGATATTGATCGGAAAGAGGTTCAAGGAGCCTCCTAGGGTGCTAGAAATGTTCATTTTCTTGATCTAGGTAGCAACTACACAGGTGTAAAAATACTTAAAAATTCATCAAGCTCTATACTTCAGATATGTATGCGTTTTACTTACATATGTTATAGCTCAATAAAAAATTAATTGAAAATATTGCATGAGATCTCCTAAAGTAAGAATTAACTTCTTCCTTTCTTTTAGCATAAGCATATCTGAGATTCTTTGAATTGAGTGTTTGCAAACAACATTCTTAGTAATAACAATAGCTAAATTAAATGCTTATATGTACCAGGCCCTATGCAGGGAGACATGAATTAACGCCTACATAAGGTAGATACCATCCAAATCTCCATTTCATAGATGAGAAAATTAAGGGACAGGGAAGTAAAGTAACTTGTCCAAAGTAAAACAGCAAATCAAATGGCAGAACTGACAAATCAAATTCAAACCCAAAGCAGTCTGACTCCAGAGACTTTGTTCTTAATTGATCTTAATGTTTTGTCATATGCTGAAGGATCAGGGGATTTTTTAAAAGTTTGATAGTATTTGATTGGTTTTATCCTTTCCCCAGTGCCTGAGAAGCATGTTCAGCATTAAGAAAAAAGAGGATTGGCCAGGCGCAGTGGCTCACACCTGTAATCCCAACGCTTTGGGAGGCCGAGGAGAGCAGATCGCTTGAGCCCAGGAGTTTGAGGCCAACCTGGTCAACATAGCAAAACCTCATTTCTACAAAATACAGACAAAAAAAATTATCCAGGGGTGGTGGTACATGCCTAATGCCTATAATCCCAGCTACCTGGGGTGGGGGGCGGGGGCTGAGGCAGGAGGATCACCTAAGTGTGGGTGGGGAGGTTGAGGCTGCAGTGAGCTGTGATCATGCCACTGCACTTCAGCCTGGGTGACAGAACAAGACCCAATCTCAAAAAAAAAGAAAAGAAAAAAGAGGAAAGAGAATCAGGATTTGGTTGGTGGGTTAACAGTCTCTAGCTGATTAAATTCCTGAGGTTCATTCAATAGATAAACCTAGTTTAGTCCAAGCGCCTATTTTCTGTGCCTTTAGTAGAGGAAAGTGGGTGCTATTATTGGCTTGTTATAGTCTCAAATTATTCCTTTCTCCTAAAAGAAATACACAGTGGGGGCAACACAGAGTGTTTTCATATGCTAGTCACTGAGGCTTTCTGGAACACTATGTCCTAGGATGAAATTTCCACAGCATGCCACACACTTTTCAGATCTGCTTTAGACCTTTTGAAAAGACTGAAGGGGCTTGTTTTCCCCTTTTCCCAGCTTTTATATTGTTATTATGTTAAATATAAAGTATCTGTGGAACCTGGAGAAGACATTAACCACTCTTTAATTATAAAATGCATAGCTTGGTATTTTCCAGACACCCGCTTTTATCCTTTACGGCCCTCTCAATTAGTTCCTCTGAAGTTCTCATATGAAAACCTGTTGGATTATTGATTTCTGGATTAAAAGGAGCTATAAATTATAGACCCTCTCAAAATCCATCAAGGGAAGGGGGAAGGCAGAAAGTGACTTAATGATGTTTTAGCCCCTATTAGCAACCAGGCCCAAATGTTTGGGCT
Source organism: Homo sapiens (assembly GCF_000001405.40). Lineage (NCBI taxonomy): Eukaryota > Metazoa > Chordata > Mammalia > Primates > Hominidae > Homo > Homo sapiens. The sequence goes on along the minus strand of NW_025791797.1, from coordinate 311,784 downwards.
CTACAATGCAAATATAGAATTATTCCCCAGCCCACCCCTGCTCCCCACAATGACTAGTAATGCACTCACTCACTTTTAAAGTAACTTGAAAATATGATTGAATGTTGACATTTTGAGTAAGAAATTGGTCTCATCCCACTCTTGCCCCAATGACCAGTGTGGCTCCCTGCCCACAGCGGTCTGGAGGGTCACAGCCCTGACCTTCACCCCAGTCCCAGCTCTGGAATGAAGCCCACCAAGGGTAGGTCACTGAGCAGCAGCCTCAAGGATGGAGAGTGTGCAGTGTCTTCCCCTGAGCTGGGAGATAGAGGACTGAGCAACAGACTCCTCTACCTGCCCTCTATGCTCTAATCTCCGTCCTGCATCAGCCACTGATGCTCTGCAAGACTTTCATCCTTCTCCCAGCCCACCTCCAGCACTCTGCCTAGCTCCAGCCAGCCCTCAGAACAGGGTCCTACTCCCTGTGGTCACATCTTGGATCTACCCATGTTGGCAGACTGAATTTCTCAGAGCTGTTCCTTTTGAGTACTGTCTTTTGCACTCTGACTAGGCTTTACCTAAATCAAACCAGGATGCACTGGCCTTTGGCTATACAGCTGAGGAGAGCACAGCTGGCCTCAGTCACTGGGCCATCTCCCTCCACTCTATCACGTACCATGGGAAGGTGATCTTGCCCCAGCTCCTCACCTTCACTTGGGCCCTACAGGTGCTGAGGTCTGCCAGATCCACCCAGGCCCTACATCATCTTAAAGTCCACCCTGGTTTGCTCAACTGCCCCATAAATTCAGGCTTTACCAGCTTTGCATTAGGCAAAGTTGAAACTCTCTGTTTCACCAAGTTGTGAGTGATTTCAAAGATGGATAATCTTAAATGCTATTATGGCATCAAGGTGAATTGAGGATGGAAGGGAATCACAACTTCCAGTGCTCAGCTTACACATGTCAGCCAAGCAAGGCCTTCTTCTCTAGTTAGCCTTCCTAAAATGATTTCAACACACACACACACACACACACACACACACACACTCACAGACATATGCACACACAGGCATTCACACTGTGTTCCTTTCTGAAAAGTAATCTTGGGGAAAAAAGCATGCAACATTGGTGCTGGTAAAAGAAATGAAGTAAAAGCTGAGGGCAAAGAAGTAACACATAAGCAGAAAACAGAATTTTGGATAATTTCAGAATTGAATCATCAATGTGGTGATAGCTGAGATGAACAAATCCATCATATATTTCTGATGAAAATAAGAAAAAGTGACTTTTATGCAAATGCAGAGAAAGAACTGCACATTATATAGGAAATTACATGCAAACATGGGCAATCCACATATTCTGGGATCCTTCAAGGGTGTCAAGGGTCTGTTGTACTTGTATTGCAAAGAGGAAAATATAATTACTTTGAAGGTCTTTTAGAGACAGTTTCCTGACCACTGGCAAACAGCAAAGCCAAAGGTAGATCCTTGTCCAATGTTCTTACCTGGTCATCATAGCGATAAGTGAGGAACTGCTCCCCTGTTGTGTCTTCCAGAAAACTTCCCTGAGGAGAAAGTGCAAACTCGGGAAGGAAATAGGCTCCAGGAGATTTCTCAGCTGTGGTCTGAAAAACAAGATCATTTGGTCACAAATAAGGCTCCAGTAAGGACCCCCTGACAGGTAAAGTCCAAGAAGGCCATTCCAGGAGAATCCACCATTAATAGCTGTACCAAGAAACAAAAAGGGAAGTGACCTCTCTTGGCAAAGACCAGGGTGAGGCACACCAGGTGTGTCAGGGCACTGTTAGGCCAGGATATCACAGTGGCCCGAATCAAACTGGCAGCCATGGCATTTATTCTCTGACACCTGCCTCTCTCCCCCTCCCCGCTACCTCTGCTCCCCATCTTCCAGCAATTCAGTCACAGAGTAGTTAACTTTGTCTTGTTGTTGCAAATCTATTGTTTTTAGGATTTTCTTTTCTTCTTCCTTTTGTGTTTTTTTTTTTTTTTGGCAAAGGAGTGAGAAACAAAAATTTTCTCCCATACTACAACAAAAATGCACTTCATTGTAGAAACTTTAGAACATATAAATGAGCACAGAAGAAAATAAAATCACCCATAATCTTTTCAACCTGTAATAACCACTGTTAATTGTTTTGGTGTATTTCCTTTGAGACTTTTTCTTCATAATGCTTTGTTTAAAAATCCAAGCTTAAATAAACATGCATATTGTAGACTGTGTTTAGTTCATGGAAAGCTCATACCCCAGTCCGTTTTCATGCTGCTGATAACTACATACCCGAGACTGGGAAGAAAAAGAGGTTTAATTGGACTTAGAGTTCCACGTGGCTGGGGAGGCCTCAGTATCATGGCAGGAGGTGAAAGGCACTTCCGACATGACGGCCACAAGAGAAAGTGAGAGGGATGCAAAAGCGGAAACCCCTGATAAAACCATCAGATCTCGTGAGACTTATTCACTATCACGAGAACAGTATGGGGGAAACTGTCCCTATGATTCAAATTATCTCCCACCGGGTCCCTCCCACAACACATGGGAATTATAGGAGTACAATTCAAGATGAGATTTGAGTGGGGACACAGAGCCAAACCATATCACTCCACCCCTGGCCCCTCCAAATCTCATGTCCTCACATTTCAAAACCAATCATGCCTTCCCAACAGTCCCCCAAAGTCTTAACTAATTTCAGCATTAACCAAAAAGTCCACAGTCCAAAGTCTCATTTGAGACAAGGCAAGTCACTTCTGCCTATAAGCCTGTAAATTCAAAAGCAAGCTAGTTACTTCCTAGATACAATGAGGGTATAGGTATTGGATAAACACAGCCATTCCAAATGGGAGAAATTGGCCAAAACAAAGGAGTTACAGGGCACATGCAAGTCCAAAATCTAGTGGGGCGGTCAAATTTTAAAGCTCCAAAATGATCTCCTTTCACTCCAGGTCTCATGTCCAGGTCACGCTGAGGCAAGAGGTGGGTTCTCATGGTCTTGGGCAACTCCACCCTTGTGGCTTTTCAGGGTATGGCCTCTCTCCCAGCTGTTTTCACAGGCAGGCGTTGAATGTCTGTGGCTCTTCGAGGAACATGGTCCAAGCTGTCAGTGGATCTACCATTCTGGGGTCTGGAGGACAGTAGCCCTCTTCTCACAGCTCCACTAGGCAGTGCCCCAGTAGGAACTCTGTATGGGGGCTCCGACCCCACATTTCCCTTCCGTACTGCTATTGCACAGGTTCTTCATGAGGGCCCCGCCCCTGCAGCAAACTTTTGCCTGGGCATCCAGGTGTTTCCATACAACCTCTGAAATCTGGGCAGAGGTTCCCAAACCTCAATTCTTGACTTCTGTTGCAGGCTCAACATCACAAGGAAGATGCCAAGACTTGGGGCTTCCACCCTCTGAAGCCACAGCCCGAGCTCTACATTGGCCCCTTTCAGCCATAGCTGGAGCAGCTGGGACACAGGGCACCAGGTCCCTAGGATGCACACAGCCAAGGGACCCAGGGCCCAGCCCGCAAAACCACTTTTTCCTCTTGGGCCTCCAGGCCTGTAATGGGAGGGGCTGCCATGAAGGTCTCTGACATGCCCTGGAGACATTTTCCCCATAGTTCTGGGAATTAGCATTAGGCTCCTTACTACTTATGGAAATTTCTGCAGCCAGCTTGAATTTTTCCCCAGAAAATGGGTTTTTCTTTTCTATTGCATAGTCAGGCTGCAAATTTTCTGAACTTTTATGTTCTGTTTCCCTTTTTAAACTGAATGCCTTTAACAGTATCCAAGTCATCTCTTGAATGCTTTGCTGCTTAGAAATTTCTTCCACCGGGTACCCTAAATCTTCTCTCTCAAGTTCAAAGTTCCACAAATCTCTAGGGCAGGGGCAAAATGCCACCAGTCTCTTTGCCAAAACATAACAAGAGTCACCTTTGCTCCAGTTCCCAAGAAGTTCCTCATCTCTATCTGAGACCACCTCAGCCTGGACCTTTTCATTCATATCATTATCAGCATTTTGGTAAAGGCAATCAACAAGTCTCTCCGGAGTTCCAAACTTTCCCACATTTTCCTGTCTTCTTCTGAGCCCTCCAAACTGTTCCAACCTCTGCTTGTTACCCAGTTCCAAAGTTGCTTCTACATTTTCAGGTATCTTTTCAGCAGCACCCGATTCCACTGGTGCCAATTTACTGAATTAGTCCAATTTCATGCTGCTGGTAATGACATACTCGAGACTGGGAAGAAAAAGAGGTTTAATTGGACTTACAGTTCGACATGGCTGGGGAGGCCTCAGAATCATGGCAGGAGGCAAAAGGCACTTCTTACATGATGGTGGCAAGAGAAAATGAAGGGATGCAAAGTGGAAACCATTGATAAAGCCATCAGATCTTGTGAGACTTATTCACTGCCATGAGAACAGTATGGGGGATACCTCCCCCATGATTCAAATTATCTCCCACCGGGTCTCTCCCACAGCATGTGGGAATTATGAGAGCACAATTGAAGATGAGATTTGGGTGGGGACACAGAATCAAACCATATTACCTGGCATCTGAATCACTGGACATAAATCACAATGGTTGGAGTCTGAGGGGGTCAGAAAGGACACCCTCTTTAGGGGAATATGGCTGGGATATGATGACCCAATGGACTTGCTACCATCACACTATCACCCACCTCCTGGGAGAGCCTGTCCAAGGGAAGACTGAGGAGGTAGAGGGTTTACCAGGATCACTGCCTTGATTGCTTCAAGGAGGAAAGTAATAAAGGAGATAGAATCTGCAGAGCTTAGCCCCATCCAGTCAAAAATACATGGATCTGTGACTATACCCCCGACTGGATACCTCACTCCCCCTGCTTGGGAAGAAATGAGTCAGAAATAAATTAAGAGGCCACAGGTGTTACTCTAAGAAAATTGCTCTCTGCAAACAGGAGAAGCAGGGAGTAAACATATTCCTCTGACACCTCTGCTGCTCCAATGGACTCATTCTCAAACTGCAGCAGGAACTATAGTTTACGCTAAAACGTCCCTCTGAATACTGTGTTTTAGAAAGGGAAATCAACATCATTCTGTCAAGGAATATAGAAGAGATAACTCCACTAGACTAGATGGCTTAGATAGCACTAGACTGTTAAAATAATTTGAAGACTTTCTTATTAAATTTCATTTATGTGAGAGATTTAGCACCACTATTGCTAATTGCTCTTACTGGCTTCAATCATCACTTTATTTTTTTTACTTTAATTTTTTTTAGACGGAGTCTTGCTCTGTCACCCAGGCTGGAATTGAGTGACGTGATTTCAGCTCACTGCACTCTCCGCCTCACAGGTTCAAGCAATTCTCCTGCCTCAGCCTTCCTAGTAGCTGGGATTACAAGTGCCCACCACCATGCCTGGATAATTTTTGTATTTTTAGTAGAGACGGGGTTTCACCATGTTGGCCAGGCTGGTCTCGAACACCTAATCTCAGGCGACCTGCCCGCCTTGGCCTCCCAAAGTGCTGGGATTACAGGCATGAGCCACCGCGCCCAGCCAGAATCATCATTTTAAATACCTAAAGAGACCTTAGAAGTCATCTAGGTCAAACTCCTTATTTTAAAAATGAGTAAACTATAGCTCTGAGAGTTAGGAGACTAACCAATCACCAAATCTGACAGTGACTATTCCTGGCACACAAAAAAAGAACAAGTGCAAAAGCCCTAAAATAGAAAGGAGGTCAGTGAGTTTGAGGAACAGACGCAGGCTTACAGCCAGGGCTGGAACCTGTTAGCAGCCATGTGCCAATACCTGGACAGATCCATTTACCAGAGTGGAAGCAGTCAAAGATCGCCACCTTAAAACAGCTTCCCGCATATAGTGGACCTTCCAGTGTGATGCTTATATTCAGTTGACCATGCATTCAACACATATTTATTGAGCACCTAATATATGCCTGGCACAGTTCTCAGTGCGATAGATACAATGAGGAACAAAAAAGATCAGGTTCCTATTTTCATGGAGGTTACATCCTAGAGGTGGAGATACATAGTAAAATAAGTAAACAAATACATAAATAAGAAAACTAACATTCTAAGTTCTAAAGGAAATAAACAAGGTGATATGAGAATAATGTTGGGAGAGGACTGTTCAATTTTAGATAAGATGGTCAAAAAAGGCATCCATGGGAAGATAAGATTTCAGATGATACCTCAAACAGGAGGAGCCAGTTATGGAAAAAGCTAAGGATGAGTATTACCGGCAAAAGAAGAGCAAGTACAAAAGCTCCAAAGTGGAAAGGAAGTCAGTGAATTGGAAGAACTAGAGTGTGGCTGAATTCAGTGCGGACAAGTAACAGTGGCACGAAATGGATAAAGAAGGAAGGGAAAAGCCACCCAAGACATTTAAAGCCTTATGGTAAGGAGACGGAGAACAATAGAAGAGTATTTAAACAACACTGACTGCTTTGTGGAGACTGAGCTAGAAGAAGGTAAAGTGGAATCACAAAGACTAGTTGGAAGGCTGTTGGTACTAACCCAGGTGAAAAGGGATGGTTCCTTGGACTGGGATGATGGCAGTAGAGAAGGGGAGAGGTGCATGGATTAGAAGTAGAACCAACAAAGCTTTCCGATGAGGGAGGAAAAGGGAGGAATCAAGGGTGACTTCTGGGTTTTTGGCTTGAGCAATGGCTGTAAAGGAATTGTAATGGATGGATAGCCCTGAGGCAGAAACTGATTTGTTGGTGAGGATAGAGTCAACAGTTCTGTTTGAGTCATGTTAAGTTGGAGGTGTCCATAAAACATCCATGTGAAGAGCTTGAGTTTGCCATTCAATATGCAAGTCCAGAGCTCAGAAAGGAAATCTGACGCTGGAGATAGGGATTTGGAAGTCATCACTTAACATTTTCATAATGTATGTATGTATGTATGTATATTTACATATATTTACAACCATTATACCAGAAAAGCCACTCCCTAGAGAAAGAGTTTGGCAGGCAAGAGGGCTTTGCCTGACACCCTCAATTCTAATATTTGAAATTAAGTAGAAGAGGAGGAGCAAGCAGAAGAGACTAAAAATGAACATCAATTAGAGTAGAATAAAAAGGAAAACACCCTATATTAGGTCATGGGAAGATTTAGCGTCAAACAGAATAGTCAAGTGTCTTGAATGCTGCTAAGAAACTGAGGAAGATGAGGCCAGAGAAGTATCCCTTGGATCTAGCAACAGGGAAGTCAACGTTGACTTTGACAAGGGTAGTTATGGTGCAGTTTTTCTTAGAAAAATTGGGCCTTCCCTTAGGAGAAATGGCTGAGTTCACACACGGCTTCAGAAAGCAAGCATCATACCAAACATGCGTTGGACATTTCCAGCCAGATGGAAGTTGACTTCCTAAATGTCAGGAAGACTCAGTGGCATGTGGCCCTCACAGGATGGGGTGACCAAAGGGGTCAGGGCCCTTAAGTAGCAAAAGTTGGAGGGAAAGCAGGAGGAACAAGCCTGGATCAGGAAGTGTGCGATCTTCCCAGGGCACTGAGCCAGGCCTAGGAGAGAAGCTGCCAAAATGCATCATCTCCACCAGCCACTGTCCACAGCTGCTGAGTCACCAGGGACAAGGTCAGGAGGAATCCAGACAGCACCTCCAGGGACTATGAATATGAGACGTGGGGATACAGCTGTGTCTCCACATCCCCATCCAGCTGAAGGATTTGACTTGAGCAGGAGGAAGTGTATATGGGATGGCTAGTCAAGGACAAGAGTTGAGCATTCTAGACCTTGATCTACACATTGTAAAGGGTCAAGAATAACTATGAAAGCTGGGTGAAAGTTCTGCTTGATTGTGATATTATGATATAATAGAAATATATATGTGGCCTCTGACTAAGGTTCTTGACATAGAGCTCCTAAAATCCTTGTAATTTTGTGAGCAATAGGGGCCATAGGAGAATCTTTTGTTCTACTATTTGGTCTTTGACTGCAGTTCCTGACACAGAGCTCCTAAGGCTTTGTGATTTCCTGAGTGACAGGGGCATCTGACTCAGCCCCTAAATTCCTTGGAATTTCCTGGGTGCTAGAAGCATCTTTTGTTCTAATGAGGTTACTCTTGGTGGACCCCTGGATAGCCTCAGGATGGGGGCTGGTTGCCAGGGGAACCAATCAAGTGATTAGAGGGTTGGAACTTTCAGTCCTCACCCCCAACCTCTGGTGAAGGGAGAGGTGCTGAAAGTTGAGCTGATACTAATGGCCAATGAGGTCATCAACCATGCCTGGGTAATGAAGCCTCCATGAAAACTCAGAAGGATTGGGTTCAGGGAGTTTCTGAGTTGGTGAACATATCTGTGTGCCTGGAGGTGGCACACCCCAACTCCTGCACTTGGGACCTCCTTCCAGACCTCACCCTACGTATCTCTTCATCTGGGCATTCATCTTTATCCTTTATTCTATCCCTTTATAAGCTAGAAGATGTAAGTAAAGTGTTTCATTTAGCTCTCCAAGCTGCTCTGGCAAATTAGTCAAAGCCAAGGAGAGGCTCAATTTATAGCCTGTTTGTCAGAAGTATAAGTGATAACCTATACTCAACCTACTGCTTGAGATTGGCGTGTGAAGGGCAGTCTTGTGGGATGGAGCCCTTAACCTGTGGGGTCTGATACTATCTCTAGGTAGATAGTCTCAGAATTGAATTGAAATAGAGGATACCCAGTGGTGTCCAGTGAATAGCTTGCTGTGTGCAGAAATACCTCCACACAAGTGCTGTGTTGAGTGGAAAATGGACAGTATGAAAAAGCACTTTAGTGTTTTGTTTTTTCCTATTTCTCAGATTGATGTAATGGGAAGAGAGAGAAGCAGGGGAGAAGAGGGTATTCCTAGATTCAAGAGCAGAATCCAGTGTGCCTCAAAAGTTAAGCAGTCACCAGTTAAAACAAACACAATGTGATTCCCATTGCAATTAAACAAGCCAGTCTGAACACTTCTCCTAACCTGGTGTGAGCTCTCACACCCATCTCTCTCCAGAGCACAAACACAGCCAAATATCACACCGCTAACGTCTACAGAACCTCGGTCAGTGAAGGGACCTAGCCTTTCTCCCACATGCCATTGCTAAGCCATGTCACTGCACTCTGGATTGAGAACCCAACTGCACGCTTTCCTGCCATTCACTTTCTCTTTAGATTTGGCATCTCAAGACTGTTTTAGATCTGGACTCCATTTATCAGGATATGCAGCACTCTCCCCCTGCTTCACGTCAGCCCAAATTTGTGGGGCATGCTCACAATCTGCCTCCTTGTCACTGCTACAAACACTGAACAGGAATAGGGCTGAGGCCTGAGCCCTCTACCTATCCAGGCTGATGGCAAATTTGCCCAATTATAGTTCCTCATTTGACATGTCGTCATCTTGGCCACTAAGGATTCAAGGAATACACTCTCAGACGCTTCAAATCTACACTGACAGACGACACAAGAAGGTAAGATGCTAGATGGAAGAACTGAGATTCCAACAGATTTTAACAGGTTGGGCAAAGGCTAAATGCCAAGAAGGCAAAGCCCTGAGCCATTATTGCTGGACTCTTCCCATGACACCAGCGCTTAGCCAGACACCATGTAAGGTCACTGTCAGGAATATTAATGCATAGGTAGGCCTATCTCTATTAACAGCAACCAAAGCAGGGCGTGGTGACTCATGCCTGTAATCCCAGCACTTAGGGAAGCCGAGGCAGGAGGATCACTTGAGTCCAGGAGGTCAAGGCCGCACTGCAGTGAGCGGTGATCATGTCACCACACTCCAGCCTGGGTGACAAACCAAGATCGGCCAGGAAGACTTTAGTATTTGAATGGGAAGTTAGGATCACTCCTACAAGTGAAAGGTCCCTTTAAATGTCAATATTCCATGAGTCAGGAAGCGTATCTTCCAGGCAAATCAGGCAGAATCCCCAGGCTCAACGCCAGCCACAGTCTGCAAGGGATACATTCTCTGTATTCCTCTGGGGCCTCAGGGGCTATTCCCCCTGGCCTGGATGGCACATGGGACTTTACAGTTTGTAGCTTCCAAGGCCCATGAGGGAAAGTCAAGTTAACCAGCAGTACTTAAACTCAGTGCACCCAACACATTTTTCTTCAAAAAAAAACCATGATGTACATTTGGTTCCTTGAACCTGAAACAAAAGTTAAAAAATAAACCTTCCAGATCATTTTGGTTTTTCAAGTAGAATGCGGTCATTATGAGACTTTTCAGTCTTAAGTGTCCAAAACCTTCCTGATGAAATATAAAATACATTTACTTTGGCAGGATTGGAAGGGAGGGTTTAAAAGAAAAGGACTTTTCACATTTTTTTCCAAGATAAAAAAAATTATTTCCAGGGATTTAAGATTCTTTTTCTCTATTTACCATCAATTAATTATATGTTCTTCTAATATTGTTCATTTAAAAGACCTAACATTTGAATAAAGTCTGGATACACCTCAGCCAAAATACCATGTAGTTTTGAACTTCAGCTTCACTCTGGGTCACATTTTCAAAAGAAATATGAGCCCCGGGCCCTTCTCCTCCCCTCCTAGGTCAGTGAGGTGGGCAGGGCCTTGCGAGTGCTTCCCTTACTCAGAATGAGCTGTTTACATGGACAGGCTCCTTCCCGGAGTTTAAATCTATCACAGGAAGAATCTCTTTAGCAAACTGGAATTTTCATAGCACCACTCCTCCTTCTGCCACAAAACATGCATTTTCTCTGGAATTTTCTCTCTCCCTCTCTCTCCTTCCCTCCCCTTCTCAAAGACCCCACCACCACACACACACACACACACACACACACACACACATTACACACACACACACACACCACAAACGTATCATGCACATATCATGCACATCACATGCTACATACATACACACACACATACCTACACCACAAATATACCCCCACACACACACACCACACATGCACACATACCACACACACACCCCACACACTACATACATGCACACGCCACAAATACTCCAAATACATATACACCACATAGCACACACACTGACTCCCACATCCCTAGTTAGCATTGGCAAGCAGGGCCCAGATTAATCAGTGAAAAGATCTTGCTAGAACACATTTCACCTTTCAGTTCCCCAAAAGGAGAAAACCTAAACATGGAGTTGTATGACTTCTCTACATATCTGAACGTTCTTTAGTGCTCAGCACTGGGCTTTATACATGGAAGACCTTCAGTAACTAACATCTTTTGTAGGAAAGCCAGCCCAGGTTGACCCTCTCCCCGCAGAGCCTGCATGCCTGCTGTCTGAATATTCTCTGCACCACAGAAGGCCCAAAGGCTCTGGCTGAGTAGCATGCTGGCATTTCACAAGGGGTTATTTAAAAACTCAACTATTCCTCCGAATGGGGAGCGGAAAGAAAGCCTTGCCCTGCCAATATACACAATGCAGATCCTCTTTCCCTAGAGCCCGCCCCCCAAAAATTTTACTTAAGAGTCCATTTTTCAAGACCTTGAAGTAAGCTGACCTATTGGAAACAGCCTCAATTAGCAAAATGTCACATGGAAATAAGTCTACTTTAAAGTTCCCCAGGAAAAAAACTGAAAATAGTATTCTATGAACAGGGCTCCATTGCTAGAGAAAAAAACGAGGTGTTTGTCTCAAATCTTGATAAATTGTAAACTCCCTACCTCACTCTCCGCCAGCCTCCCCCTCCTCCTGGTCTAGCCACTCGGTGAGGGGTGACACCGTTCCGTTCCCACCAAAGCACCCAGGAGAGAGAGAATGCTGGTTATTTGTTATCCGAGGGGCATGAGTCACTGTTGGTGAGAGTAAGTGCTGTTTGTGAGAGCTACCA